>NC_000010.11:9706969-9858484 GCF_000001405.40 Homo sapiens
AGTATTTGTCTCTAGTAGAGAGACAAGAAATGTAGACTAAGAGGGCCACAGGAGAGGGTATTTGGGGCCTTGGGTTGTACCACTTCTTGCTCTGACTGGTGGTTACGTGAGTATCTGCTTTATAAGTCTTATTTAAACTATATATACATGTCTGAATATATGATATATATGATACATCTTACAGTGAAAAATTCTCAGCATGAGGTAGCTAATAGCATACATATATATCATCAAGTTTTATAACTGAGGTGCCTTTGCATTATGCTTTACAAAGTGTTGTTCTGAAAACACCTTATGAAATTTAAATGCAGACACGATGATGATAAAGTTGTGCAGTAGCTGACCTAGCTCTCTTTTTAACCCCCTTTTCTATCCCTTTAGATATGAAACCTATGATTAAATATAACAGAATAATGGGCTGTGTGACACACACAGGAAACAAACATCTCTATGAGCTCTATTTCATTTCCTCTTTTTAGCAAAATGATTATTTAGTGTGAAAATTAAACAAGTGCTGGAGGGTGATAAACCTGAAAGTTCTGGGTATATAAAACTCACATTTTCTCAGTCTTGGATTGCTTTATCGGGGGTGTGTTTAACGTTCCTGCTTGAAAAAAATGAGTGGATAGAAGGCTGTGTTATTCTCAGAAGGGTCCATCAATATTATATAGAGACAGGTGGGACCCACTAATAAGATTGAAGACAGTTAACTACAACTAAAATCATCTCAATCCTCCTCACATAAATCCTGAACATTTCATTTTTTTACTTTTTCTATTTTTGTTTGTTTGTTTGTTTGAGACAGAGTCTCGCTCTGTCGCCCAGGCTGGAGTGCAGTGGCTTGATCTCCGCTCACTGCAAGCTCCGCCTCCCAGGTTCGGGTCATTCTCCTGCCTCAGCCTCCTGAGTAGCTGAGATCACAGGCACCCGCTACCACACCCGGCTAGTTTTTTGTATTTTTAGTAGAGACTGGGTTTCACCGTGTTAGCCAGGATGGTCTCGATCTCCTGACCTCATGATCCGCCCACCTCAGCCTCCCAAAGTGCTGGGATTACAGGTGTGAGCCACTGCGCCCAGCTCATTTTTTTACTTTTTCTAAGCAATCACAATTTAGAGGTGATGTTCGTTTTTTTCTCTCTTTCTTTTTCTTTTTCTTTTCTTTCTTTTTATTTGACAGAGTCTCACTCTGTCACACAGGCTGGAGTGCAGTGGCGCATTTCCATTCACTACAACCTCTGCCTCCTGGGTTCAAGCGATTCTCCTGCCTCAGCCTCTGGAGTAGCTGGGATTACAGGTGCACTCCATCATGCCTGGCTAATTTTTGTATTTTCAGTAGAGATGGGGTTTCACCATGTTGGTCAGGCTGGTCTCGAACTCCTGACCTCAGGTGATCTGCCTGCCTTGGCCTCCCAAAGTGCTAGGATTATAGGCATGAGCCACCGTGCCTGATGGCAAGAGATGATGTTCTTAATTGGTTCTATGCCTCTTATTTCATCTATCACTTCCTATTTCATCCTCAGTCACTGAATTTGCTGACAATGAGTGGATCGATCTGCTTTCTATTCACGTTCTTAATTCTCAGAACCAATCTAAAACTGCTAATTATTAGTATGGTGGTATAGTCTATGCATTATGTATTTTGTATTTATGTACAGTATACTATATGATATACTATGATAAATAATATATCCACCTACTTATGTTTAAGTGGTTTAGAGACTGGGGACA
Organism: Homo sapiens; assembly: GCF_000001405.40. Taxonomy (NCBI): domain Eukaryota; kingdom Metazoa; phylum Chordata; class Mammalia; order Primates; family Hominidae; genus Homo; species Homo sapiens. Next base: position 9,708,698 of record NC_000010.11, read on the forward strand.
TGATAAAGAGGACATGCAAGCCTTTGCCTTCCCTAGAATCAGACAAAAAAACATAGGCAGATTAACTTAAAAGAATATACCAACTAGTAATGATTCAATCAAAAATATAAAACTTGGTAATACAATAAAGAAGTCTGTAGAGTCACCTTAGTTTTAAGGAATTAATATTTAGGCTTGTATTTTAAATAAATATTAAATATGCAAATTATGAACATATCTGAGGGAACAGCTGGTGTTAAAGTTCTAAAAGTAGGAATGATTTTATCATGTTCAAGACACTAGAAGAGCAGAGTGGCTGAAGTTAGCAAATAAGGGAGAGGATGAAAAGAAATGAGGACAGAGGAATAGGCAACAGCCAAAAAATAGAAGCCTTGTTGTTGAAACCATATTAGGAAGTGGTTAAGCCTGGAAAATGGAATTTAGTTGTTGAGTTGAACGAAACAGTAGAGGAACTCCAAATAGCAAAGCTTTCTGTTGATTTTTTTCCTACTAGTCCTTAGCCTGTGAAGATGATCTGTGTGGTTTCCCTTAATTTTCTGGGCTCAGACAACCTGACTTAGTTTGTTTGGTGTATTTAGAGTGGAACTGCATGCTCCCTGCACTAGATTCGACAGTCAGTAAATGTGAGACTCATGCATACTAGTGATTACCCTTGAAAATCTCTTAAATCTTTCATAACATAGAATATGCATGGTTGTCCTATCAATAAACTTGTACATTAAGCACTATGTATCAAAAGCCTGAGAACCACTGTCATAGCGAACCTAAAGGAAGGACCAAAGGAAGCTCTATATGCAGATGTTGAACATTCAGAATTTTCAGTCTTTGACAGAATCACCAAATCCCTGAAGCAGAGTGAATATTTCTCATCCTGTCTGCAAGTTTAATACCATTCACATGGATTAAATATGTGAATTAAAGAAAATAGAGGAGTCACCTCTCAAGCTAGGTTTAGGTTCTAAAGAGTGAAATTGGAATGCATAGGTGACATTACACTGTTCTAACCCCCAGGCCTAATCCTCTGTTTCCAACTACCATGTTGTAAACTGACTTCAACTCCTGACATTCTTAATAACTTTATTTCCGACACTACACTCAACTCTGTGGCTTCAACTAGATCTTCTGTTACTTCATCACTGATGGCCTCTCTCACTTACATCTCTAACCATTACCTTTTTATGATTACTTGCCCTTAGCTTTCAAATCAGTCCTCAGAACCTGTTGCTCCGAAGTCTACTTCAGGTTTTCTGGCTTTCTCTTTACCTCCAGTTTCAAAATAAGAGCCATCTCTTCTTTGCTTTCACTTTTCAGCTTTTTCTAATACAAGCTGATTTCTACAGTATTACTAATCTGAAGCCTAAATTCCAGTGTTATGAGTGATTTATGAACTTCCGATTACACAGACCTATTATCAAGCCTTCTCCTATATGATCTCTTGAAAGCCTTCTATACTGTTGACTTGTGCTTTCTTTTTAAAATTGCATGCTTTGCTTTCAGGACACTATTAACTTTACCTCCCTCCTCACTGATCGCTTTTTAATTGTTTGTCTCTTTCATATACTCACCCCTTTGATGTGGATAGTCTCAGGCACACTCAGCCCACTTGCTTCCTAATTATTTCTGCTCTTACTTTTACAATCCCATCCACAAATATCTTCAATGTAATCTCTAGTCAAATAACAGTAAAATTTGTATCTTCAACATTGAGAACTTATAAAACCAAATGAAATGCACATTGGATAGTTCTTAATAAATATTTTATAATTCAATATTTAATACAAATATTAAAATTACTGTAAATGACTTCAAAGACCATGTATAAAATTGTTTGTGATCTTTCCCTCAAAACCTATCATCCTACATTCTCTATATAAGGTAATGCTACTATCATCTGACTATTTACTCAAGCAAAACATTACAAGAACAGCATCAATCACTCCTTCTCCTTTAGCCCTCTGTCAAACAGAATAGCAATCTTCAATTTGTCTGTTTCCATACAAACACAAAGAGTCTCATTCTCTTATTCCTACTCCTACTTGTTATAATTTATATTTAACTCCTGGCTTATTGCAATATAGTTTTCCCCTTCTTTCATATTTCTAAATGTATAGTGTCTGTTCAAAGTTGTTTTTTTCTAAAAATAACATAAATTTGGAAGTTATATTACCCTGCTCAAAAAAATGTTAGTAATGGTTCTCCACTACCCATAGAATAATATGTCAAATATTTCAGTCATTTTGCAGTCAGAATGCAGTTTTTATTCCAATGATTTTTCCTATAATTCCTATGGCAAATCATAGGCTGTAGCCACTCAGGCATGCACACTGGTCCTCCAGAATTTTAAACATAATCAGGTATAAAAGGGGGGTAGATTATCTCTTACTGTTAGAATTCTGATGGTCCATAGTTCATGACTTAGAATACATACTTCAATTGTTTTGAAGTTTTATTCTAATAGAGTTCAGACTACTTTTAGTGATTTATGCTTACATATTGCTCAAATAGTCATTCTTGGAAATAATGAAGGGGATTAGAGAAAATTTACCAAATACACATGGACAGGGAAAAGGGGGATGGGAGAGAATTTAAAAGGCAATATAATAGTATTTTTTAAAAAGTGGAACATTTGCTATGTGGGCAACCTATTAAAAGTGAATCTTTTTATCAAATAAAAAATTATCTTTGTGAAAACATTATGACGTTTATTTCTAAAACTCTTATTCCATTTATCAGCATTTCTTTAAGAATCACATTTCTTTTCATTCATCATCACTATAAGCTTATGTTTTTCAATACTTATTCCTGAACTTTTCAAATACTCTCACACCAGGTTACAAGATCTTCTAAATAAACCACTAGGATTTAATTTCAATTGAAGCCTCAATGATGATGATAACAACATTTTTATAAAACTCTGAGGCATTGAACTCTGCTTCTGATATTGCTGCTCTTAAATTTTACTGAGCCAGTTTCACTTCTAGTGTCTAAGGAGAGAGCTAGGCATTTTTAGATGCTACATTAACATTTTAAGGCTACCTTACTTAATAGCACCATAATGAACAAAAAGCATTTACTGAGCTTGTAGACAACTTAGCCTATTCCCTCAGTATAGGATCCTTCCCATGAAAACCTGCTGCAACTGGTTTTATAACCAACAATGGCATCTTACTAATTCCAATTCTAATTACTACAGTTCATGCTGTAAACTGCAAAGTAGACTACAATATACATTCTAATACATTTCCTTTATCACCAATAAGCATTAAAAATAACTATCTCACAGTTCTTGTTCATTTAGATACATGCTATATACTAGTTTTATTGCATTCCAGATCATTTTGATTATTTCCAGAACTTTTCTCTGAGACATACTAGAAACAACTCTAGTATTTGTTTGAGAAGGTGAAAAGGGATTGCTGCTGTTACTTTTTATTCTGCCAGAAATATACTACCTAATGACTCAATAGCAATTTATAAATCAAAGTGACTGTTTTGCGTGCTAAGAAATTTGCTGATAGCCCTATGAACATTCCTCCTATGTTATGAGTCACCTTTCTCTTGCTGTTTTCAAAATTCTCTCTGACTTTTGACAATTTGATTATAATATGTTTCAAGGTACTCTTCTTCAGATCGCTGTGTTTAGGTTCTTTGAGCTTCATGGAGCTGGATATCCATACTCCTCCCACTATTTGGAAAGTTTTTAGCCACTATTTCTTTCTGTTCCTTTCTCTCTTCTCTTGGGACTTCCATAACATATACTTGTTTGTTTGATGGTTCTCAGAGGTCTCAAATGCTTTCTTCACTGTTTTTCATTATTCTTTCTTTCAGTTTCTTTAACTGGCTGATTTCAATTGACCTGTCTTCAAGTTTGCTTACTTTTTCTTCTACATAATTGAGTCTGCTGTTGAAGCTCTCTATTGAATTTTTAGTCCTGTCCTGGTATTCTCCAGTTCCAGGATTTTAGTTTGGTTCATTTTTATGGTTTCTATTTTTAATTAAACTACTCATTTTGTTCATGAATTGTTTTTCTGATTTTGCTTAGCTGTCTATGTTCTCCTACATCTCATTGAGCTTCCTTAAGATGATTATTTTATATTTTTTATCAGGCAACTCATAGATCTCCATTCTTTTGGGGTAGGTTATTGGAGCTTTATTAGTTTCCTTTGGTGTTGTTATATTTGCTTGATTCCCCATGATTTGAATATCCTGCCATTTGTGTCTATATATTTGAAAGAGCAGACATCTCTTCCAGTCTCTATATAAGACAGGTAAAGATCGACACTCAATCCCCCTAGACAACAGGAATTTCTCTGGAATTGCAGTAAAGTGATGTTGGAGCTGGGTCACGTGGTTGCTTCTGGGTTCACAGTATGTCTTCAGTTACTAGAGGCTTGGGAAGTGTGGATCCTGCCTCATACCTGGACATGATGGGACTGCCTCCAGTATTCTGGTCAGTAGTAGTGGCACTGGGACAAGGGTCCACTTCAGGATGCTCAAACAGTTGATCTGTTACCAGCTCTAAGGGCAAGTATAGCTCCCACTGTATCCTGGGAGGACTTCTGCCAGGTCTCTCTGCAGACCACTGGAAGGACAGAACTATCACTGGACCACTGCTGACAGGGATTGAGGGAACCAATGACAAGGCTGCATCAAGATCTGCAATCAGAATGAGGTTGGTGAGCCTGGTATCCAGGGCAAAGGCAGGGATGTCTTTTCCCAGGTTCCTGAGTGAATGGTGCTAATGGAAGGACAAAAGCCAAAGGAGACTGTAGCCAAATCCATAGGGAGATAGGGCTGTTTCTGGGTCTGTAGCTGTGACTACATGTAGTGAGTGTGCCATCTGCATGGGAACCTGCCTTCTCAAAATAGCCCTCCTTGGTCACAGGCTCCACCTGGGTTTCACTGCCTCCTGCCTAGAACTCAAAGTTCCCACAAAGGCACTTTTCTTTCCAGATGGCTGCCAAATTGTTGTGGGGGATATAAGTGGGGTTTTTCTTATTCTACCATCTTGCTGACATCACTTCATAGTTTTGTTTAATAGTCAATGTTAGATGTCACAATGTAAATTACATCCTAGGTAGATCCTACAGTGTTACTGAATATATATGTATATATAATATTCAGAATATATATATATATACTGAATATATATATGTATATATAATATTCAGAATATATATATATATACTCAGTGTTACTGAATATATATATATATATTTCTGAAGATGCTTAGCTCTTCATTTGCCATAATCTAAAGTGTTCTTTCCTATTGCTCTTCCCCAGATTTTTTGTGGGTAAAGCCAGACACTGTTTAAAAATTTGGGATAGAAACTAAAAACCAATCTGGTTTTCAACTGTGTGCCAAGAGAAAATAATAGAAGGTGGAATTTTTCCCAATCCAATATGTTGATAGACTACCCCCAAAATGGCTAGGGCAGGTCGAGTGGGTGCCGGGCAAACAGTACTGTAAACAAAGATCCTCTAGTGTCTTTGTGTCACAGTGTATGAAAAGATCTCAATTTTTTTAAGGACTAGCAGTAAAATTATTTAACATAATCTCATGTCTATTTGTATACTAGAAGAATGACTCCCTAATGATTAGAATTTTAGATTCTGTCACAGGACAGCAGAGATATCATTCACCACTCTGGAATATTTTGTCAAATATTTTAATCAAATATCACAGCAGAGAATAAAGACACACTCATCCCTTCTTAGTTTTTATGCTGTAAGAGTTGTATTTTGAATAGTGAGGACACCTCGCTCCTTATAATTGAATTAAATATTTATTATGAGTTTACTACCTCCAACAATTTCAAAATAAAGAGTTTATTCTAAGGTCAATTTGCAAAATACACAAAATCTCTAAGAAACAAAAATCATCTAAGTTACTGAAACCTAGAAATGCACTGTTAATATCATCTTTTGTCTAGATGTAACTTAAATCAAACTATACACACACATACACATACGCACACACATAAACTCATACGTATGCATATATATGTGTATATATACACCTTTCTCACTTGAAATTATGTTACAAAAAAGCATGACATTTGAATATATACACACAATACATTTTTAAAATTTGAGATTAATTTAACAATGTGAAAAAATAATATGTATGTAACATAGGATGAATTTTAATTTTAATATTGACCCCAGGAATCCAAGATGGGTAGTAGTTAGTTTCTTTTTCCTTTTTTAAATGGTGCTCTATTACATGATTATACCGCTATTTGGATACATATTCTTGTGCTGACAGTCAGTTGCTTAGCAGTTTATGATAAAATTAAATATATATCTACCCCATGACCATGGAATTACACTTCAATACATTCATTTAAGAGGAATTAAAATATGTGTCCATAAAATAACTACATAGGGATGTTGATAGCAGCTTCATTTATAACTGTATCAAAATTAATTACTGATTCCTGGGTGAAATTACCTTTTTAAAAAAACAAGATTTTCATTTAGATCCCACTTATAAGCGAGAACATGCAGTATTTGGTTTTCTGTTCCTGCATTAGTTTGCTAAGGATAACGGCCTCCAGCTCCATCCATGTCCCTGCAAAGGACATGATCTTATTTCTTTTTTGTGGCTGCATAATATTCTATGATGTCTATGTACCACATTTTGTTTATCCAGTCTATCACTGATGGGTATTTAGGTTGATCCCATGTCTTCACTATTGTGTATAGCGCTGCAATGAACATACACACGCATGTGTCTTTATAACAGAACGATTTATATTCCTTTGGGTATATACCCAGTAATGGGATTGGTGGGTTGAATGGTACTTCTGTCTTTAGGCCTCTGAGGAATTGACACACTGTCTTCCACAACGGTTGAATTAATTTGCACTCCTACCAACCATGTATAAGTGTTTTTTTTTTCTTGACAACCTTGCCAGCATGTGTTATATTTAAGTTTTTAAATATAGCATTTTAATAATAGCCATTCTGATGGCTGTGTGATGGTATCTCATAGAGGGGAACAACACACACTGGGGCCTACTGGAGAGTGGAGGGTGGGAGGTGGGAGAGGATCAAGAAAAATAATTAATTGGGTACTAGACTTAATACCTGGGTGATGAAATAGTCTATACAACAAACACCCATGACACATGTTTACCTCTGCAACAAACCTGCACATGTACCCATGAAGTCAAAATGAAAGTTAAAACTAATTTAAATAAAATAAAAAACAAGATTAAACAATGTATTATAAAATAATAATTTGCTGTATTTTATTTCAGAACTTTCTGAATTCTCCTGAATCTTCACTTGAGATTTTCCAAAGTAATATTGATCACCTTTATTACAGTGTAGCACTTTCAGTTTGTCTTAACATTGGCACAATCTTTCATTCAATCATGGTTTGTCTTACCAAACAAATTAATGGAGCTATAATATGGTTCTTTTATTGCTATGTTTAATAATACTATAATACAATTTCTTGTTCATAAATATTTTTCTATATTTCTGAATTATTTTAAGATAAATCCACAAATACAGAATTTATATGAAAAGATAAAGGGATGTTTTATTGAAAATACATTGGTAAATATTACCTAATTATTCATGGAAGGCCTTCATCAAATTATTCCCAAACCAGTAGTGTATGTACATTATATCTCTTCCACCCCAATAATATTCTGACTATTAAGTAGACTTGTTAAACACTTCTACTTTCATCAACAAAGATAATCTGTGGTTGAAATGTTAAATTCCTTTTTGTTAATCATGTTATTTAATATGTTATATAAATGTTAAATATATGTTCATGTGTTCATACTCTTTGCATAGGTTTGCTTGGTTTTAACATTTCCAAGTGGAATCATAATGACATCTAAATATAGATATAGTATTTCTGTGAACTCTCTATTTTACACAGCATTATGTTTTAAGATTTTTCTATATTGATTTAGTTGGGTGTCACCCATTTCTATTATAAATTATATATATACACACACAGACTTTCTCTTTCTCACACACACACCCCAATATTGATTTATTAGTTCGATTATCAATGATGTGGAGACGTATCCCAGTTTCTCCTATTTTAAATAATTCTACTTTGAATTTTCAATTCCATATCTCCTACTGCTCACATACAAGAGTTTCTCATTAGATGAGCTTCTCATTTCACTCTCTTTTCAGGGACTTTTTATGAAAAAATCTTTCATGTAGTTGAATTTTTAACAAACTTGTATTTGCAGTTTGCATTTTGTGCTTTGTTTAAGGATTTCTCCTGTGATTCCATTTCTGGTTAAGATGTGTGCTCATGCCATTATAACCTAGGTTAACTAAAAATTATGTTTGTAAGGGCACTGTAGAAATGTGGTTATAAAGAAATCTAAATGAAACAATTTATAAAAAGGGGTGGAATTTTCAAGATCAGATCTATTTAAGTTCAAGATTTACTCCAAGGCTACACTAAGAAACACATTGTGATATTGCTAAAATTTCAGACAAATAGATCAACAGAACAGAAATATTAATAGATAAGTCACAAATAGACCATGGACATGGTCTTAGATTATTGCCAAAGGTACTACAATTTAATAAGTCAATGGAAGGACTTTTCAATAAAAAGTGCTGGAAAGTCTATACATATGTATTTTTTAAAAAATCTTTGAATCTTATTTTACTATCCACAAATATTAATTAGAAATGAATCGTAGACCTAAATATGAAGGTAAAACTGTGAAGGTTTTTGAAGAAAATGCAGGATAATTTCTTTATGACCGTGGAAAAAGCAAATATTTTATGGGAAAGACTGAACACGTAATAAGCATAAAAGAAAAAATATTAAAACATATTTCATCAAAATTAAAATGTTCTGCTTATCTATTGCCAATATGATGGAAGTAAAAAGGCAAACAACGGATTGGGAAAGGTATTTTCAATGCATCTATGGGCAGCAAAGGATTTCTGTCTAGACTATTTAAAGTTCTATTAAGAAATCAATTGGAAAGAACAGATAAATCAGTATGGCTGGACTAAAGAATTAAACAATTATTTCACAAAATTAGATATTCAAATATTTAATATATAAAAATATTGTTGTCATTAAAAGAAGAATAAAATATGACTACACACTCATCGGAATTTAAATTAAAAAGAAAGAAAATGACAAGCGTTGGCAAAGATGAGGTTTAATGGAAATTTCATACATGACTAGAATGTGAGTAAATGATAGAGCCAGCTTTGATAACTCTTTAGCTGATTCTAATATCATTAACCAAGCAAATCCTATTACCTACCAATATGAATCTCAGATATATGTCTAAAAAATTGAGTGTATGCATTTTAAGATGTACACACATCTTTATTTAGAATAGCTACAAAATGAAGTGGCCCATATTTGTATGTAATAGACAATGTAATAGTCAAAGACAAAATTTGAATATTCAAACAATTTTTAAAAAGCTATATGGTATTAAAATAATGAACTACTGATATATATCATGACAATGATGAAAACACAAAATGTTAAGAGGACACACATCATTTAATATCATTCATAAATGAACAAGAAAGTATTTGTAACACATATAACAGATAAAGAATCATTCACCAGAATTCAATGATTGCTACAAATAAATGAGCAAAAAACAAAACAAATTAGTAGAAAAATAAAGGACAAATACTTCATGAAGAGATATTTTATGAAGAAGAAATGCTATTAACCAGCATGCAACTGAGATTTAATTACTATGGCTATTAGAAAAAATATAAAATAAAACATACTATTTCACACCCATTCGGTTAGCAAAATTAAAATTTCTTTATGCAGTAAAGTTAAAGATATGCACATAATAAGAGCCAGCAATTTCACTTCTAGGTGTATATGGTAATGGCACTTTTGCAAATGTGCAGACAAGGTACTTTTAAGGAGGCTCAGTTCACATATTTACAATGGCAAAATTTAGGTAACAGTCTATGTTTCAACTATGAAAGGATAAATAAAATATAAAATTTGATATGAAGATAGAATTTATTTGCATTACAAAAAGTAGAGTTCACTAACTATATATAGATATAGATCTATCTTAACAAAGACAGATTTGGAAAACAAAATACTCTATGAAAAAAATCAAGCTATAGAGTTATGACTAGACTATTATTAACAAAAAAAGTATGTAAATTTAAAAAGCACATAAGGTTTTTGAGGTAATGTGGAGGGCATCATGCTTAAAATACATGAAAGTTGAATTTCTACTTTACTTATATTTTCTCTAAGTAAAAAATGACGTAATTCCTGTACAACTAAACATTAACTACCATCAATTCTGAAAAGCAAGTACAAGGTTGTTTATATGTTGTTTTTTGTACTTTTCTGCATTTACGTTTTGTTCAAAGTAAAAGAAAAACTTTTAATTTTATTAGAAGTACAGTATATTAATTTCCTAATTGCATTCAAATAAAATTTAGTTTGCATAATATTGAACTTTCCAGACAACTGACAACATGCCACTCTACAGGGGAATATATAAGCACCAATTCAGGTGCTTATAAAAACTGTTTATTCCCAAAGAAGTCAAGAGGAAACAGAAAAAGGAATGTAAAAATGTGGCTCAAATAGAAAGACAGTGTTACAACCAAATACATCAGTAAACATATTAAGTATAAATGAGCTAAATGGTCCACATATTAAGTATAAATGAGCTAAATGGTCCACTTAAAGGGCTAACAATTTTGGATTGAAAACAGCAGTAATGACATCATCAATAATCACTATACGTTTACAAGGCATAAAATCAGAGAAAGATTGGAGTAAAGAAAAGTAACAAAGATATAACTGGCAAATTCTAACTAAAATAGGTAAGCAGTAAATAAATACATAAAAAGCTGCTGTAGTGGTAAAATACTAGGCATAGCTGATTTCAAGGCAAGAAAAATTTCTTGAGAAAAAGAAATAATCGTTTTTTTGATAAGAGATCAATCTACCAAGGAAATACTGTCATAATACAGACCTTCAAAATATTTTTAGCACAGAATTTCTCTTCCAAATAAATGGGGGTAATCTGGGCCAGGCTTATTCCACTTGAAACAATGAACAAACAAAAAATACAAAATACAACGTTTTTCAAGACACAAGACATCAAACAATGAAGAACAGAAATCTCTGAAAGACGTAAATGACATAAGATCTATAATTTCCCTAGCTTGATGCCTTGAGAGAGTTTCCAGGCCATAGTACAATGAAGAGCAATTTAGGCAGAACCCAGCAGACACCATGAGTAGAGGAAATAAATCTGGAAATCCAGGTGTACTCTCGTAATTAAAATAATGTCCCGCCAAAGAAGTTCCTGTCCTAATCCTTGGAACCTGTGAATATTTTACCGTACATGACAAAAGGAACTTTATAAATCTGATTAAAGTAAAGAACCTTCAGATAGAGATTACCTGGATTAGGTGGGTGAGCCCCATTTAATCCCATCAGTCCTTAAAAATGAAGAACCTTTTTCTTCTGGGGATCAAGAAAGAGAGTGGGAGAGATGGGAGCATGAGAAGGTCATGATCTGCCATTATTGTGAAGATGGAAGAAGGGGGCCATGAAGCATAGAATGTGGGCTGAAAAAGGCAAGGAAATTAGTTTTCCCCAGAGTCTCCAGAAAGGAATGCAGCCCTGTTGGCATCGTGATTTTAGAGCAGTGAAGCCCATGTTACACGTCTGACCCATGGAAATGTAAGACAATACATTGTCTTGTTTAAAGGCATGTAAAATAATAAATTTTGTCATTTTTTTAATGTCAGCAGTAGAAAACTAATAGAGATACCAGCACAGCTAGGGTTTGCAGGGCAGGCTACTAAAACAGAAGATGGTTCCCAGAGAGACAACTGTGAAGAGTATTCAGCTGTATATATTACATATATTCATCGTATATATGTAAAGCAACGGCCCAAATCAAGGGCAGAATTAAAGACAAAGATGTCCAGAGTTCGCAAAGAACCAGAAATAGTGTCTGTTCCCACCAGTCAGACAAAAATTTTATGATTCACTGGCCACTGGAGAGAATGTTTGAAGGTTTTTTGCTTCAGTAGGTGAGTGTAATTAGACCTTCAATTAACATTGCTCTGATACTATCTATAAAACAGTTTAAGCAAAGACTAAAAAAATCAAACATTTCCTAGTGTCCTAACTACATATCAGAACAAAGACAAAGGGTAATTCCAGAAATACAATAATACCCAGCACCACATTTTAAAGTAACAAGGTAAAACTCATAATGACTGTTAGGCTTCTATTCAATCAAAATTCGCTGGCATTTGCAGAAGCTGGAAAACGTGACCAATAATGAAGAGATCAATCAATCAGAACTAACTAGGAACTAATATAGATGTTACACTTAGCAGACATCCAGGCATTAAGTAGTTAACAACTATATCATTGTGTTCAAAATTTCAGTAGGAACATGGCCGATATGAGAAAGACTACAGTCCAAAACGTCTATAGTTGAATGCTACAATTTCAGAGATGAAAAAATACATTGTATGGTATTAATTGTAGATTATATGTTGAAGAAGAAAACATTAGTGAGCTTGTATACCTAGCAATATAAACTACCTGAAATAAAACAAAAAGAAAAGAGGGTAAGAAAAATGAACAGAGCATCGGTGAGCACTGCGTAGTTACAAGGGGCTTTAACATCAGTGTAGTTTAAGTTCCTCAAAAAAGAGGAGAGGACAACAGAAAAAAAAAAGAACCTTATTGAAGAAATAATGGCTTGGGCATTTTCAAATTTGGTGAGAACAGTAAACCCAAAGATACAAAACATTTAATAAGTTTCATGCACTAGAAGCATGGAGAAAACTACACCAAGGTACATCATAATCAAATTACTCAAAAACAATAATAAAATCGCAAGAGCAGTCAGAAAGATAACACTTACTATTTTTTGTCATAAGGATGACAGTATGTTTCCTACCAGAAACAATGTAAGTGAAAAGGTAATGGAATTATGTTGTTATTTTATTAATATTATTTTATTTTTTATTAAACAACATCAACTTTATTTTCCATACCTTTATTTCAGAACAACAAAAATACACAACATCCAATGTTGTTGTCAAAGCAGAGAGAGACTAGGGCTTCAGGCCCTTGTTTCCTGCATTAGACATAAGGACAGGAGGGAAAAACCACCAGACATCAGCAGAGGGAGCCAGGTGGGATGGGCCACTCAAAGCTGTGAAGGGAGCCATGGGGACGTTATAAAGAGGGCACAAGGCTTCCAAGTATAAATTCCTAATCTACTTCCTTTATGCGAGACATATCCGCATCACGCTCAGGAGGTGGGAACCTCATCAGGAATGGCAGCACTGGATTCCTCTGCTGCCACTTTGTCTTCATTGAAACCTGGACCCACCCTGATCTTGCAGTGGATGCCACTGGTGTGGGTCTGGGGATCCTTGAGGGAGATGCTAGAAGACAGCAGTGTGGTTTCAAACAGCAGCACCACCAGGTCCTTGACAGCCTGGCTGTGCTTGTCTGCCTCAGCCTTCTAAAGCAGTGTCTCCACAATGGGGTGGTTGAGGTTGATCTCCAAGAGCTTTTTGGCCGTCATGTAGCCCACCATAGAGCTATCCCGAAGTGCCTGAGCTTTCATGATCCACCCCATGTTGGCTTCCAGCTGTAGGTGCTGGTCACAATGTAGCAGTTTGAAGACACAAGCCTATTGGAGATAGCCACTTTCTAAAACCTCCTAAGGTTTATTTCATGACCTTGCAGAGGTTCTCAAACTTCACTTTGCTTTCCTCCATTTTTTCTCCTCCTCATCCTCAGGTAGCTTCAGACTCTCCTTGGTAACTGAGACCAGGCTCTTCCCATCAAACTCCTTGAGCTGCTGCATGCAGTGGGCTTGGTCATGTACACCTCCTCAAAGCCCTGCTTCCATCCTCGCTCCAGAAAGCAGAGTTGGCAGCCTGCTCTCTGCTCTCATCAGTGATGTCATAGGTGGACTTCTGTGTCTTCTTCATGTGAGAGACATAATCTGATGGAAATTTCATCTAATTTCCAGACTGGAAGGCATGAAAACACAGCAGCTCAAACAGACATAGCTGGTTAGTGGAGTCCTCATGGGCTCTAAGCTTTAGGTTTTTAGAGAATGCCTCATAGAATTTCTTCTAGTTGTCTTTGTCTTCTGCCAGCACAGAGAAGAGCTCAAGATACTTTTTTCTTTCTTTTTTTTTTTGTTTTTTTTTATTTGTTTTGTTTTTGAAGAGGAGTCTCTGTTGCCCAGGCTGGAGTGCAGTGGCCTGATCTCAGCTCACTGCAACCTTTGCCTCCTGGGTTCAAGTGATTCTCCTGACTCAGCCTCCCAAGTAGCTGGAATTACAGGTATGCACCACCATGCCTGGCTAATTTTTGTATTTTCAGTTGAGATGGCATTTCACCATGTTGACCTGGCTGGTCTCGATCTCCTGGCCTCAAGTGATCCACCCACCTTGGCCTGAGTTTACAGGAGTGAGCCACCGTGCCTGGCCTCAAGGCATTTCTTAACAATGTTTTTGCAAATGACTTTCAAGATTTTTCTGTGCTGGAGCACTTCTTGGGAGATGATCCAGGGCAGAGCTTCAAAATCAACAATACTACACATCAAGTTGAGATATTGTGGTATCAACTCCTCACAGCTGTCCATGGTGAACTCACAATCGATACAGACTTTGACGTTGTTCTTTTTCTTCTTCTTATCAAAGAGGTCAAAGGGAGCCCCTGAGAAGCGATGAACAGCAATGCCCTGAATTCCAATTGACCTTCTACAGAGAAGCGCTTGAATGCCAAGTGGACTTCCTAGTCATTAGTGAGGCTTTTGTAGAATTCTCCATACTCTTCCTGGGTAATGTCATCAGAGTTTCTGGTGCAGATAGGCTTGGTCTCATTTAGTTCTTCCTGAAGGATATATTTCTCCTTGATCTTCATGGTTTTCTTTTTCTTATCCTTACTACTGTCATTCTCCTCATCTGAACCCATATCTTCAATCCTGAGCTTTTCCTCCTCACCTTTATCTTCCTCTTCTTTCTCCCCTTTCTCTTTCTCTGTCTCACTGTCACTGATTTTCTTCTTTCATTCATTCCTTCTCCAAATAAAGAGTGATGGGATAGCGTATGAACTGAGATTGCTTCTTCACTACTTCTTTGACCTGCCTCTGTTCTAAGTACTGTCTAGTCTTCTTTAAGGTGGAGGATCACTTTGGTACCCCAGCCAATGGGCTCACTGTGGTCAGCACCTACAGTGAAGGAATGCCCCGCAGAAGAGTGACTCCCAGGAAAGCTGTTCATCATTGCTGTGCTTTGAGATCACAACCACTTTCTTTGCACAATAAAAGCCAGGTAGGCACAATAAAAGCCAAAACCAAATTGCCCAATCATGGATATGCGTGCACCAGCCTGAAGAGCCTCCATAAATGCTTTAGTACCAGACTTGGCAATGGTTCCCAAATTATTTATTAAATCAGCCTTGGACATACCAATGCCTGTGCCCAGCAAGTCAGGATGTGTTCCTGAGGGTTGGGGATGATGTCAATATTTAGCTCTTTACCACTGTCTAACTTGGAAGGCTCTCATAGTAAATCTTGTTCAAGGCATCAGATGCACTAGAAATCTCTTCCAAAGGAAAATCTCCTTGTTGAAATAGAAGGTATTGATGATGAGAGACATGGGTTCGGCAATTAATGCCTGAAAAGTGCAAATCTCTACCTCCTCCTCTTCATCAGGCATGATAAAAGGAAAAGGATTATAAGTAACGGAGAGCAAGGGCACTGCATGCCCGAGATGCACGCAGCACCAAGGCTGCATGAGGAACACTACTGGAACAACATATTTAAAATACTAAGAGAAAAAAACAGCATCTTAGAATGTTAAACTCAGTGAATATATCTTTCAAAAGTAAAGGCAAAAATAAACACTTACTTTAGATGCCAACCATGAAAGAATTCACCAGCAGACCCACACGAGAAAAAATGTTGGAAGTATGCCTTTAGGCAGATAGGAAATGATGTAAGATGAAGAGATGGGTCTACACAAGAGTCAGTAGCAGAAATGGTAACTACATGGGTAATTATACGAGATAATATTCTTATTTTAAGGCTCTTGGAAAGATAATAAGCCAATAATGATTTAAAGTGAGGTTTATGACATATGTATAGGTAAATATATAATAATATCATAAGATCAGGAGAGAAGAAAAAGAAGTATACAATTGTAATTTCTTATACTATACTAGAAGTAGTATAATATCTCTTGAAAGAATACTATAAGTTAAACATGAATACCAACAATCCTAAAGCATCACTAAAACCACAAGAAAGAGCAAGCGCTAATAAGTCGCAAAGAAGATAAAATGGAATAATAAAGAGTATTGAATTACTTCAAAAGCAATTACAAAAAGAGAAAAAGGGAAAGCAATCAAATAAAAAAACAGATGGGAGAAATAGAAAACAAAATCTAGATGTTAAACCTACACATATCAGCAATTATAGTAGCTAAAAACAGTTTAAGCATCCCAATTAAAAGGCAGAGATAACCAAGTTGGATTTAAAAAAGTAAGATACTACTACACGCTGCCTGGAAGAAACATACCATAAATTTTAAAAATAGACCAAAAGGTGGCAAAACGGAAAAATATACCATGCTAATCCTGAAGAAAAGAGAGCTGGAGTGGATGTGTTTTTATCTGACAAATAGATTTCAGAGAAATCAAACAAATTCAAATAAAGAAACCTGATAAAGTTTTCTCATGAAAATGGATGCAATTACATTTATTGATTTGTGTATATTGAACCAGCCTTGCATCCCAGGGATGAAGCCCACTTGATCATGGTGGATAAGCTTTTTGATGTGCTGCTGGATTCAGTTTGCCAGTATTTTATTGAGGATTTTTGCATCAATGTTCATCAAGGATATTGGTCTAAAATTCTCTTTTTTGGTTGTGTCTCTGCCCAGCTTTGGTATCAGGATGATGCTGGCCTCATAAAATGAGTTAGGGAGGATTCCCTCTTTTTCTATTGATTGGAATAGTTTCAGAAGGAATGGTACCAGTTCCTCCTTGTACCTCTGGTAGAATTCGGCTGTGAATCCATCTGGTCCTGGACTCTTTTTGGTTGGTAAGCTATTGATTATTGCCACAATTTCAGAGCCTGTTATTGGTCTATTCAGAGAGTCAACTTCTTCCTGGTTTAGTCTAGGGAGGGTGTATGTGTCGAGGAATTTATCCATTTCTTCTAGATTTTCTAGTTTATTTGTGTAGAAGTGTTTGTAGTATTCTCTGATGATAAATATTTTTTATTGCATCTATTTGATTCTTCTCTCTTTTCTTCTTTAGTAGTCTTGCTAGCAGTCTATCAATTTTGTTGATCCTTTCAAAAAACCAGCTCCTGGATTCATTAATTTTTTGAAGGGTTTTTTGTGTCTCTATTTCCTTCAGTTCTGCTTTGATTTTAGTTATTTCTTGCCTTCTGCTAGCTTTTGAATGTGTTTGCTCTTGCTTTTCTAGTTCTTTTAATTGTGATGTTAGGGTGTCAATTTTTGATCTTTCCTGCTTTCTCTTGTGGGCATGTAGTCCTATAATTTCCCTCTACACACTGCTTTGAATGTGTCCCAGAGATTCCGGTATGTTGTGTCTTTGTTCTTGTTGGTTTCAAAGAACATCTTTATTTCTGCCTTCATTTCGTTATGTACCCAGTAGTCATTCAGGAGCAGGTTGTTCAGTTTCCACGTAGTTGAACGGTTTTGAGTGAGTTTCTTAATCCTGAGTTCTAGTTTGATTGCACTGATTTTAATCAAAATTTGAGCAAATACAAACATCTTTTTGAACGGTAATTCATCATGACCAAGTTTTTTTTTCCCCAAATATGCAAAGTTGGTTTATCATTTGAAGATTAATGTATTTGCAATATGAACAACCTAATAAAGAAAAAAATCATCATCTCGACAGGTGCAAAGAAAACCAAAACCATTTGATAAAATCCAATGTCCATTTGTATTAAAAATAAAGCTATCAGTCAATTAGGGAGAAAAATGAACTTCTTTAATCTGAGAGTGCACATCTACAAAAAAATCTACAGTTAACATTATACTTAACTGGGGAATTTTCCATCACAGTTAGGAAAGTTTTCCCCACTCTCATGTTATAAAAGAAATCATCCATGTTTAATTCCAGAACTTCTATAGTATTATTTTCTATACTTAAGCTTACATTGTGGAATCTATATTAGAGTATACAATAAAATATCATTCTAATTTCATCTTTTTTTAAATAGCTATAAAGACATCATTTATTAAACAGTTCATGTTTTTCCCACTAATTTCACATGCCACCATAGTTATACACTAAATTTCCATATGCACTTGGGTTTATCGCTGTATTTTTTATTCTGTTACCCTGGATTATCTGGCTATTTGTGTATCAGTACCAAAATATTTCAATCATATGTTTATGTTTTTATAATTGGTGGTGCAATGTACACACTACTGTTTGTTTTCAGTATTTTCCTCAATATTCTTACTTTTTGTTATATATATGTAAGAACTTTAAAACTAAGAAGTTGATATTTTGAGTAATATTTTGATTTTAGTAAAAAATGCCTATCACTTATTCGCATTTATGTCTGTGTGTGAATTGATTGTTTTCATTTTTTGCTTAGTTAAAAGACATTGTGAATATCATGTATCCTAGGGACATCCATGATAAAATGAAAGAAAAAAAGTTACTTATGATTTAAGACATCATCACTATACATGTGGGTCAATTTGAATCAGACTATTTAGATGAAAATTCAGGTGCTTGTCTTTGAAATTTGACGACACAGATTCTTTCAGATCTGAAGAGGCGTATCTGTTTTAAATAACCCAAATCATTTTTGCACTGAGATGAACTAGTGATTAATGAAATACAAGTCTACAGAGTTGTGCAAATTCTGGTTGATATCTCTCTTTCTCTCTCTCTCTCTATGTATATATATATACACACACATATATAATTAGTCCCACTTTATTCTTTCATAAAATATTTCTGAAATATTTCTAGTTTGGGATTATTTCACAGGAAAATTATGAATAAATTGTTATGTTCATCGCTGCATTTAATTCCATATTATTCTGGGAAATATCAAATGAATGATTTTATTCCTTAACAAAGAGTGTTGATTGGACCGGAGTTTTGGGTCATTAACTCCATGATAAGTTTGTATTATTCCCAGAAGTATTCTCAGTCTGAATTTAAACTTCAGAATCACTCTTTAACATCAAGGAACACATTACTTTGTTCTAAATAATAACATTTTCTTTAAAAATATAATGGCTTTAAAATACTAAAAATAGTAAGGTAATTGCTTCTTCCTATTTTATGTTACTTCTTAAAGCTTACAATAAATATTATCAAGGTTTAGCTGGACAATTTCAAGAGTACGCATTGGTTTTTTGTTTCTCTCTGATTGATAACAGAGGTAAAGCAAAATACTCTGATTACAATGACCAGATTTTAATGAGCAATTGTCTATTAACAGTTCCCCCTCACTGTTTAAAGACAGACAAAAACTTCACAAAACATGATGTGCAGTGAATATTTATTTAAAAAATATAATGGAAACTTAGTTAAATCAACTTCTACCATAGCAAATTTATATTAGTTGTATTCTGTCTCAAGACCATTTAATAATTCCTTTCTAAAAGATTTTAGAAAGGGATAATATTGCTTTATTCTTTTTTTTAAAAAAATTACTATTTAGAGAAGTTTTAGGTTCACAGCAAAACTGAGAAGAAAATAGAGTTTCCACATACCCCCTGCCCTCCCCCGACACACAACCTCCCCCTCTATCAATATTCCCCACCAAAGAGGTTCATTTGTTATAACAGATGACCTATATTAACACATCATCTCCCAAACACCACTGTTTACATAAGGGTTTACAGTTGTTATTATAAATTACATGGTTTTTCACAAATATATAATGACAGATATCTACCATAGTATCATATGAAATTATTTTGCTGCCCTAAAAATTCTTGTGCTCTGACTATTCATCCCTTCCTCTATGGTGTACACATATACCATGAAGTACTATGCAGCCATAAAAAAGAACGAGATAATGTCCTTTGCAGAAACATCGATGGAGCTGGAGGCCATTATCCTAAGCAAACTAACACAGGAAAAGAAAACAAAATGCCACATGTTCTCCCTTATAAGTCGGAGCTAAACACTGAGTACAGGTGGACACAAACAGAGGAATAGTAGACACTGGGGCCTATTGAGGGTGGAAGGTAGGAGGAGGGTGAGGATCAAAAAACTACCTATTGAGAACTGTGCTTATTACCTGGTGATGAAGTTATCTGTACACCAAATCCCTGCGATATGCAGTTTACCTATATAACAAACCTGTACGTGTACCCTCAAACCTAGAATAAAAGTTGAAAAAAAAAAAGTTCCATGGCAAATAATCCCAGTGATAGATGTCATATTACAAGGCCAATAGGGGGAAATAAAAGACAAGATTCTGACACTGCAGCAAGACTGCAGGCCTAACTCTCTTTTTAAGGAATAGAAGAACTATAGCAAATAATTAGTTTTCAGATCTTTCAAAGATTACTATTATTGTTGCTTACATACACACTGGTTTTGACAATCTGGCAGGTCCTTATTCATTAAACACATAGCTGTACATGAGTCAGACTTGAATCTTTAATATAGTAAATGAAATAGATCTGGTATCATAATCCTAAAATTTTGAAAGGTAAGAATATTTTTGAAAATGGCAAAAATTAATATCTTTGTTAATTATCTTTCCATTTCTATTATCTCAAAACATCATAACCACCCAAAATGCATGGAAACATATATTTTTAGAAAATACTAAGAGATTTTTTGATAGACCAGTTGACTCCTGGAAAAAATGTAATAAAGCTGTCTTTGTTCTTTGGAAACTATGCATCTTAAGACAGACAGTTTTAATACAGAAAAAGGGTACGTGTGTGATTCAGAGCAAAATCTATCAAACAGAACAATAGCAGATATCAGTGACTAGAATATTAGAATCAGATACACTTTATGCCAAAAAAGGTAATAAATTACTTGTTACTTTAGTAAATGTTTCTGATACAATTAAAGCGTATTTTACTTCAGACGGTCATATCTTAAAGCATAAATATTTTTCCATTTGGAAAGTATTTCACAAGCAAGGGAAAAAGCAAAGCAGATTCCCAAGTAACTCCAGACTTCCTAAAGAATATAGAAAATAAAAGAAAATTAGTGTGTTTTATTCCATCCTGGAGGAGAACTTGATACACAGAACAAAAGCATTTTTTTTTTTTTACCAGTTGTAGGTGTTGCCTACCCTCGTATCTGATTGTTGTTTACAAACTAAAAGAAAATCTATGTTCAACTCATTTAAAGACCTGCTGCTGAAGGAGACCTACACACTGCTAACTTGATACAAAGTTAATTAACGTACATTATAAATATTGACAAATATGTACAGAATTGTTTTAAAGTTGAGAAAAATTAATGGCATGAAGGAAAAGACAAACAGAAAAACCAGCTGAACCTGAGAGAATGTATATATTGAAAACTTGAATATTTACAGTTTTCTTATGTAAAAATTTAAATTTTTCCTCTAAAAATATAAATAAATGTATATGTCAAAGTTAAAATAAAGATTGTTCTAAAAACATTTGAATAAAATCCAGAAGGAGAAGGCAGAAAATACTGAAGAGAACAAATAGTAAAACATGACATATAAGAACATTTGCCTAGTTAAAAATTTTTGTCTTTAGAATAAAAGGATAACTTAAGACACATTAAGTGTTAAGTAAGATAATTTCAGAAAAAAAGAAACTAAGGACAGATTACTCGATGCTCTTTATGAAAAGGCATATACAGATGCTTTTGTTCTGTGGATCAAGTTCTCCAAGACAGAATAAAACTATATGTACAGTTTTTTTATCTACCTATCTATCTGTCTGTCTGTCTGTCTACCTACCTACCTATCATCTATCTTTCAAGAATGAATAAATTCCAAATGCTCAGATATAAAAATAAAGTTTACAACAGAAGAAATGAGAATCATGTAGTAATCAGATTTTTCACTTTGTAATACGGAATGATTTTTTCATGGCAAGTTTTTCTGTAACAATAATTATATACCCAACAAAATTATAATTTAAATTTGAAGGAAAATAACGTCTTGCTCTAATATTAAAGGATTTAGAAAGATTCCCATTCATACATATTTTCTCAAGAAATTTAGATAATATTGTAATGCAGAGAAAAACAGCAAAAAGAATCCAAAGGCATAATGATGAGAACAAATAAACAGACTATTAAAAAGATAAATTACTAGCTCACAACAGTGGTAATATTGATAAAGTTCAATGCAATTTTTTTAAATAATTTATTTTAAAACTATAAGAATTTTGTAAAAAATATTTACCTATTAATATTATTTTAGATAACTTCCTCAAAACTCAAGATCTAGGACAAAAAATATGTAAACACATACTATGACCTTCAATTACAAAAACTATGAAAATTAATATATTTTAATATCATACAAATACAGCACATTTTATTTAGCCTTTCTCAAGTTAGTAATGTTATTAGCTAATACACATGCAAAAATTACTATACACCAATCTTTGTGACTCTCAATTTGGGACAAATTTTAAGAAGTAAAAAATCCTAAATCAAAAATTATGAAAATTATTAAAACTTTTCAGATATAGCATTAAATTGATTTTGCTAATATATGAAACAATCTATACATTTCCTATCATACTTAACAGCTACCATTTCTCATGCCATCTCTAACACACCAAAGGAGTAAAACAGTATCTTATTTAATTTCCTTTTCTCTTGTTACTATTAAGCTTGTTAAAAATGCATTTATTGTACTTCCTATTCTGGTCAAAAAGAGGTAGACACATTTCTCTCTATTTGTCCCACTAAGTACAGGGAGAAACTCTAGACATAATTCATAAAACAAGCACAGGCAGTTTCTGAAGGCTGGAAAAAGGAAGGCAAACTGGTTAGGGGCCTTGGGACTCAAGAAACAATCTGACGGCTAGTTCTCTCGACTTTCTTTTTCTTTTGCATTGTGTCTATCTATATAGAAATGGAAGAGACCCTCAGTGTGGAATCACCAATGGTCATCGAGAAAAAAACTCTCAAGAGATGCTTGTTTTCTCTAGCCAGTGAGCTGGAAAACAGGTAGCTGAGTGGACAAAAACCTTTTGACAATCTTTGTTCTACTTCAGTCAAAGATTACCATGGGGGAAAGAAACCCATGCAGCCACCACTACCCCCATTGTCCTCATGGGTGTGGTGTTGGTGTCACTGGACGCTAAGTAGGAAGTTCCCACTCCCACTGCTGGCTAACAGCAGTGCTTCTCCTGTTCTTTCCAATTGGGGAGTGTGGGGAGCAGGCAGCTGGAGAACGGGGTTCACAAAAATCTCAAAACGCTCAAATACGTTTTGGAAGACTTCCTATTGAATGTTCTATTACTAACAGAAAATCAAACCACCCTGCACTATTTCTGTTTTGGATATTTTGTTGATGAGTGTGCAAACTGAATGTTGTGAATTACTAGGATTTCACATCATGACTAGCACTTCGAAAAAGAAAGAAAACAGGAGGTTTCATCATGGAGGTAAAAATGGAAGAAACAATTGTTTCCATATTTGATGCCTCTTTCTGTGGTGTTCTCATTCCATTGTCAGATCCTAAGAGCCCAGAAAGGTCACTGAGCAGAGTGAAAGGACATTGTGCTGTCCTTTGCTTTTTCTTTGTTGGCAATGCGGGTTTCATTATAAAAGTAACATTCCTTATCTAGTTCAGTTTCTGACCACTCTTGACCATGCAGCCATGGCTCAGGGGACAGTAGTCAAGTTCACCAACACTTACAGCATCCTCTTTGTAGCAGTCTTGAAATATAATATTTTGGGTGACTCTGAGAAGTTCAGAAGCAGGGCAAAGAGGATCCAGGAAGAAGCAAGCATAAACTGCCTCACTTGACGATCTTTATCTGTCAAAAAAAAATGAGCCCAGAAGCTCTTCAAAAATGACAGTAGCAAACCTAACTTTTCCAGTTTCAGAAATTACCATCAGATTGTGCAGTGCCTGGGCCGAGACTGATGTGACACCCTGAACCATTCTGCTGTCTTCCTTTGCCTTTCTTTAGCCAACAGCGATGGATCTGCTATTTATACAGAACAGTGTGGCTGGAATAAAATATTTCTGACTGCTTCTTGAAATCTCAACATTTCTGCCATTAATAAGAAGAGTCATTAAAGATAATCCTTACGTGATGAGTCAGGAATGGTTAACAGCTGCCGAATTACTTCCAATTCTGAAACTTCTTTTAAAATGTAACATTTTGTTACCTGATGGCAACTGGATACAGTCAGGATACCAGCATTTACTTGTGGGGGAGAGAAGAGAGGATGGAGAGAGAATGAAGGAATTATGAATATATGTGATGGGTAATATATATAATGTATAATAGTTTCTGTGCCTTTTCCCCTTTAGAGGAAGAAGAGTGGCAGAATAACCATCTGTCTGCTTTTAAGCAAACCCTCCTTATATTTAAAGGCAGCTATTTATTTTTTTTAACCCATTCTAAGGTTGTAATAAAAATCAGAGAGTGGGAGGACTAGATCTTCAGCAAGAAATGAGACAATGTGTTCATAATATTCGTGAATATCTATGACATCTGTACTTTTCTAGTATTATATGATGAAGTCAGACAGACCTGGCTCCAGATTCCAGCTCAAATAATACTATGTGATCTTAGTACATTAAATAACTTACCTAAATTCAGTTTCCTCATCAATAAAGTGGTTGTAATAATAACATGTAGCTCACAGTGTTGTTGTAGGATTAAGTGCAATAATGTGTATGAGACAATTAGCCCAGTTGCTGATACATTGTAGACTTTAACAGATATTACTTGTAAATAATAGTAAATTATGTAACATTATTAGGTTAGTACAAAGTAAAAAATGATTTATAAAGTCAACAATCTAGCATACAATAACCATGTGAGGGCATATACTATTCTCTTTAAGAAATATGTGTTTAATGGCTTTTCCTAAGGATACATGAAATTTGCTCCATCAAATTCATAACAAACAGACAAATAGTGTGTTCTAGATACTATGTCAATCTGACTCTCTGTTTTTGTCCGAACTGTTACTAGCTGCATGACCTCAGGCAAGCCACCTGAATTCCTTGAAACAGGTTTCTCACCTGTACATTAACTATCCTGCTTACCTTGCCTACTTTGGAACTGTGCAAAGAATGCCAGGCATTCACATTGTTATTGCTGTTATGCAGGTCAACAGTAAAGACATAGCCCTAATCATGTCTTCTGGGTTTGTTAACCTCTGCTCTGCTGGTCACCTTTCATCAGAAAGAAATTAAGTAAAGCACTGGAGATAATTCTTCTTGGGTCCTATCTGACTTGCTCTGAACTTCTCACATTCATCTAAAATATTATGGTCCAAGGCTGCTACAAAGAGGATGTTCTAAGTGTGGGTGATCCTAGTAGCTCAAACAGAAACGAAACCCTAATCTCTAACAGAGAAAAAGCAAGAAACAGCAGTAACACCTCTCGCTCTGCTCAGGTGACCCATCCGTTATCCTAGGATCTAACTGAAATCAGTCAGACTGCAATCAGTCAAACGGAGGCATTACAAAACTCTTGCTCCATTTCTTTCTCTCTCTCTCTCTCCCTCTCTCTCTCTTTCTTTCTTTTTGACAGGTCTCACTCCTTCCCAGGCTTGAGTGCAGTGATGTAATGATAGCTCACTGCAACCTCAACCTCAAGTGATCCTCTCACCTCACAGCCTCTCGAGTAGCTGAGACTACAAGTTCATGCTGCCACTCCTGCCTAATATTTTTTTTAATTTTTTTGTAGAAAGAGTCTCACTATGTTGCCCAGGTTGGTCTCAAATGCTTCAGCTCAAGTGATCCTCCTGCCTTGGCCTCCCAAATTACTGGGATTACAGGCAAACCTACTGGCATTTAAATCATCTGTTATTCCCTTTATGATGAAAGTTCCCATTCCCTCTCTCTTTCCAAGTACTGTACTAGTAACAATATGAAATTCTAATAATTCAAAACACACTAGGTGTGCATACTCAGCAACAAAATATCCAGAACAAAAATAATGCTGATTAGAATGCCATTCCCTTGTTTCTTCTTAGTAACATAACACTCAGTGGGAAGTTTTTTTTTTATCATAATCTCCACTCTTCTAAAGATGTGGACTAGGGTTACAGTTTATTCTAGCCATTCTGACAGTCTGACTCAAGTGGGGTTTTAAATGATGGTCAGTCATTGGTAAATATCTATTCACAGTGAAAATAATTAATTAATGCTCAATAATTCATTACTTATTGTTCAGGCCATCTGTTTTGGCTAAAGCATCTCTTCAGTTGATTTTGCTCTAAGCATCTGATGTAACCCGATTTTATAAAGACAATTGCCTTATGTTTATTTGTTATAACTCGATTAAACATGTTGTCCCACTTATGTCACTCTAGTGCTCTAGGCTAGGGTGCCGATTAGCATTCCCATTCTGTAGAAGGAAACTGAGGCACTTGGGAAAAGAATAAATAAGTGAGATTTGAAAAGAAATGAATGAGAGAAATACAGATAAAATTGAGATGTCTTTTTTTTTTTTTTTTTTTGGGATGGAGTCCAGCTCTGTCGCCAGGCTGGAGTGCAGTGCCGCCATCTCGGCTCACTGCAACCTCCGACTCCCAGGTTCAAGCAACTCTCCTGCTTCAGCCTCCTGAGTAGCTGGGATTACAGGTGCGTGCCACCATGCCCAGCTAATTTTTGTATTTTTAGTAAAGACGGGGTTTCACTATGTTGGCCAGGATTGTCTTGATCTCTTGATCTTGTGATCCACACACCTCCGCCTCCCAAAGTGCTGGGATTAGAGGCATAAGCCACTGCACCCAGCAAATTTGAGATTCCTTGATGTTCACCAATATTGCAAAAAGTGTTGATTTAATAAAATATGTGTTAAGACTAATAATTATTGAATGCTTCTTACTGCCTAAAAATCAGGTCATAACAAGAAGGCAGTAAAAAGGTACTCCAAATACAAGATTTTTTTTTATAATACATATTACATAGAATTGTCTTTTCTTACTAACCACAAGTTACCACCGCACAAGGTTTTCCATTGCTTCATGCTGTGAGTGTTATAGGTTAGAAGTTTAAAAAAAAAGTGTTAATTAACCTCAGTGTTATCACTTCTGTTATTTAGAGAAGCTGATGATTTTTACTAGCGAGAGTCTGGCCTAAAAATACAGGTGTCTTCATTAACACAGGCTGAGAACACATCCAGTTATCATATTGTTACTTTCCTTCTGAAGGCACAATTTTTATTTTTATTTTCTACTTTATTTCTCTTGCATGTCTCTTAAATATAACAGTTCCCATAACTGTTCATATTTGACATGTATGAAAGATACATCTGAAGAGCTTTACAAACCCCATATTCATGCAAGCCTTCCTGTTATAATTTCTATAAGGTTATAAAATCTAGCAGTGTAGCTCTGTAATTCATCTGATATTCATTGATAGTGGGCAAGTAGCTAAGTTATTCCAAAAAGTGATGGAAGACACTTGCCACCTAAGTGACTTGCTCCCTGCTCCATCCTACAGCATATTCTATTCACATGTATGCTTCCCCAAAATCACAAACTGTTGAACAATGGATTCTCCATGGATCACTGATGATATTCACTGTAATGTTAAATATATTAACCTCCAAGGCCTACCACGTAACAAATGTACCTACAACAGATTACCATCTTAAGAAAAACATACTTTATATCACAATCAGTAACATATGATGTGGTTGTAACAGGGCATTTATCGTAACAATTAGTACATCACATTTATTTATTTTATGTTTTTATTTATATATTTATTTATTTATTCATGTATTTTTTTCTTTTCTGAGACAGAGTCTCACTCTGTCACCCAGGCTGGAGTGCAGTGGCACGACCTCAGCAACCTGCTCCCTCCACCTCCCGGGTTCAAGTGATTCTCCTGCCTCAGCCTCCTGAGTAATTGGGACGATAAGTGCATGCCACCATACCGAGCTAATTTTTGTACTTTTTTTTTTCAGTAGAGAGGGGGTTTCACCATCTTGGCCAGACTGGTCTCAAACTCCTGACCTCAAGAGATCTGCCCACCTCAGCCTCCCAAAGTGCTGGGATTACAGGTGTGAGCCACCATGCCCAGCCTATTAATTTAAATCCTTGTGTTGTAAAAATAATATGACCATTAGTATATAATATGATAGTTTAGTTTGAGATTGATGGCTGTTTATCAATGTAGTGGTTTTATCATGAACACAGACAATAACTGTATTAGAAGATGGCTATATTTTCTCCTGCTTTGTATAGCAACAGATACTTTCTTCGATTAATATTTCATTTGAATTCCAACCATGCATTAAGCCTAGCAATTAATGCCAATTTATGAAAAAGGCACAGTCCCAGCTTTCAAGCAACAAATAATCCGGGATATTTTGACAAACTCCTGATCTCAGTTAAAACCATATTTCTTCTCTTGTCAAGCACAGATAATAAAAATACTAAATTCTACCTTTCTTTAAAATCAGCTGATTCTAAGTATACCTTTTCCCTGTGGACCATATCAAGGTATTTGATGGCTAAGTTTGTGTCTAAAATCTATGAAATGTTATGTTAGACAATTACACAAAATAAGATTATGATAACAAAATAAAAAGTATTCTGAATTATTTTGTTCCTTATAATCTAATACACACACAAAAAAGTAAAATTAAGTCATATGCTCGTGCCGGACAGCAATGCTAAATGACCTTAGTTCTTCTTAATGCTAGAAATTCTTTGGTATATTAATAGTAATTTCTTACACTATATACAAAATGCTTGGTTATTTATCATTCTCTCTTAGAAAATTGAGGACAAAAACAAAAAAACTTACATATTATCATAACCTAGAGAAGTGCTGGCAATGTTTCAGATACTAATACATTTTCATAGAAAAATTAAAAAATAAATTTTTATTTCATTTGACCTCTCTTCAACTTTGATAGTTGACCATCCACTCTTAAAAGCAACTATTTCCTTGGCTTAATGATAACATAATTTCCTAATTTCTTTGTCGTTTGCCTTGGGTAGCACTTCTGTCCTTCCCAACTTTTAAATATGATTTCAGACTTCTTCCAGATACTCTTTACTATCTCTCCTTGGGAAATTAAATTCTCTCTCACAGCAAATTTTTGACTATATTGTTTGATGATCCCAAATTCAGACCACTCTATTAATCTAACCATTTAATTAGTAGCTTCATTGGCTATACTCAAGTGCTTTGAAAGCAAACAAACACATTCAAAACAATATACTTTCCTCACCGAAACAACTGTGCTCCTGTGTCCTTAATATAATTGTTTTAGTCTGCTTTCTGTCACTGTAACAGAGTACCACAAACCGAATAATGTACAAAGAAAATAAATTTATTTCTTATAGTTCTGGAGGCTGAGAAGTCCAGCATCAAGGGCCTGCATCTGGTGAGGGCTTTCTTGCTGGAATATAACATACATGGTGGAGGGCCTCACATGGTAAGAGGGAAAGAGTATGCCAGCTCAGGTCTCTCTCCTTTTTCTTATAAAGCCACTAGTCCCATCACGAGGCCATAACCTGATGACTTTATCTAATCATAATTACCTCCCAAAGGCCCCACCTCCAAATACTATCAACATATTAATTTTGGGATTAAGTTTCTAACACGTGAAATTTTGGAGACTTATTCAAACCTCCTATTTTTTTTTTAACTTTCAACCTACAACACTCACAGCATGGAGCAGTGGAAAACCTTGTGTGGTATTACCTTTAGGTTAGTAAAAGACAATTCTATTTAACATATATTGTGAAAAAAAACACATGTGGAGTATCTTCTTGTCTTCTTCTTATGGCCTAATTTTTACCTTATTTTAAACATACATAAAGTTGTATAAGCCAGAAACCAGGTGGTATCTTAAAAGAGGTCTATAGTTCACATCCATTTCTGTTTAATGTCATCAAGTTCTATTGATTCTCTCTCTTAAATAGGGCTTAATCTGCTCACCTTCCATGCATATATAACCAGCTCCAAATCCAAACTCCATCATTTCTCCTGTGGACCACTACAATGGACTTTAAATAAATCTACTAAAATATAACATTCATCTTGCAGCAAGAACACTAAACATATCCAGAATATTTAAAATATAGTATAGCATAGATATATACCAATCAGAAATAAGGCCAGCCATAAATTACTGGTACAACTGTACTAGAATATACCAACACTGGCTATGATCATATAATTCAAGTCTCTATATAATCTTGCATTTATGGAATAAGTCCATAGTTACAGAAAATTTTGGTGTAAGCGTTTTCTCAGAATTATTATTCTGATAGGCAAAATGATTGGGACCAGAAGGAGAATTACAATTGATATCTATCATACTTATTTGTTAACATGTGTAGTCTAGGGTCCCCCAATACTCATTTCACATATGGCAGAGACTCCCTCAGTCTTGTTAAGCACTGTAATTTCATTTCCTATAGTGGTACCCGATACTTAGTAAAGCCAAGTAAATAATGAATTACTAAATCAATGGCTGACTGAATGAATAAATACATGATTATATGGAGGAAGGTTAAAGTTTAATACAATTAAAATCAACAGTATCAACAAATCAATAATCTCGCTCTTAGCTATCATTTTATTCTCATCTCCCACCAATTTTCCTGTATTTCAGTGTCTTAAACTTGTTCACTTTCTACTAAACTCAATGGCTTTACAAGCACTGTTTCTTCTAAATAAATTATAACTTCCTCCTTATTTGACTGGCTAACCCCTAATCACTTCTGCATCTCAGTTTAAATGGCCCTTTATGTTCTTAACTCAATTCAGTTCCTTTATTTCCCTATACCTTACCTTTTGCATATTTATCACAATTATATTCAAATACTTTTTTGTGTAATTGCTTTAATAGCTATTACCTATCAGGCAGTAAGCCCTGTTTACCTATCAGACAGTAAGCATGTTTACCTCAGCCACAAGACAGTGCCTTGCAATAAGAGGGTCTCAATAAGCATTTATTGAAAAAAATACATTAATTTAAATGTAAATTAACATTTTCAAAATAAGTTAGTATCATTTCTATACTGACAATGTCTCATAGAAATTAAAACATTTTATAAATCTACATTTTTTAGGTTTTCCATTTTGGGCAAAAATTAGAAAGGAAAATTATTGCAGGAATTTTTCTAGTATAGAGAACATTAGGTATTTGTTAACATATCTGTGTGTGTGTGTGTGTGTGTGTGTGTGTGTAAATTAACTGAATATATTATTAGTCTGGTAAGAAAATGAGGGAGATCTTTGGAGGTCAGATATTATAAAAATGCATATATCCATGAAAGAACACAAGCACTGAAGTTTTGTTTTCAAGGAGGCGACAAATAATCTTTACATGTGCATGAGATAGGAGAAAATCCCTGGAACCTCATGCAAGGTGGGAATAAACCAGAGAATCACACACAGACCCAAAATAACTGAAAAGCAACAATTTTAATAGGAGAACTAGGAAAAAGCTGTCTCTGGATGCAGAAATTTGGGGAATGTTTAACTGACTTTTCTTCAGAAAGAAGAAAAAACTTTCGGATTTCTATGAGGGCTATGGCTAATATTTATACTACTACATGTGCTAAAAATCTCTATTACAAAAATTTCAATTGACTTTGTCTGAATTGGTAGTAATCCATGAACTTGACAAATATATGGACCATGGAATTGGCAAATACAAATTTCCTGGGAAATATCATGTGAATCTAGAGCACAAACACACAATTCCAAAGAGTCTAAGTTCAGATTTTTAAAAATCTGTATGTAGCAAATAAGGAAACAATTCATTATGAACAGGAATGAGCTGAAACTAAATACCATAGTAAATGGTGTGCTACAACCAAAGTTATTAGAAGTAATACATACAATATATAACATAAGCATATTTTAGCATATTTCCTTAAATAAATAAAAACATGGATGTACTACAGGAGAAGAAGATAATATAAAGTTAGGAATCATATTTGAAAAAAACAACTAAAACTATTACAAATTGAAATATTATTACTGAAATTTAAAAACAAATCAATGGATTAATTAACCAGATGAACCCCCACTGGGAGAAGTAATAGGTGGGCTAAAATACAGGACTGAGAAAATTAGAGAGAAGTCAAGAGAGAGAAAAAAAATAGAAAAATATAGAAATTTTGGCTATCAAACTTAGTTATAGTTTCAGAGATGACAGGCTTGTATCAAAATAAACATCCCATATATAACAATTATAAAATGTAGTAGAAATAGAAAATTACAAAAAATTATAAAAATAACTGGAGGCTGCTCTGCCTATTGAGTAGCCATTCTTTTATTCCTTTTCTTTAGTATTGAACTTGATTTCACACACACACACACACACACACACGCACACAGACACACACACGAAACCTGAAAGGTGACCATAACTATGCAAAAGTGAAAGGAAAATTGGCCTCTTAAACAAGAATGGCATTGTTCTATAATTTTTCCACTGAGGCCACTTCTGGTCTGCACTTCTCAAGGTGTTACCTCCAGCAAAGAGTTGGAGTCCTTTTTCTAAATTTAAATATCAAAAGAACAGAGATCAGAATTACTAGAGACATCTGAAATTGAGGGAGAAAATCTTGAGAAGAATCCCCATAGGGAAACCTCTAAAACTGGCAAACAAACCACTCTCAAATCCTTGGGTGTTTCCTAAACTTTACAAGTATTGCGGTAATCCAAGTAGGAGAGCAATAACCAAAAAAAATGACAAAACTCAGCACCTATAAAACTGCTGTTTACCACAAAAGACAGAAATTTGAGTTAGTTAGAGGGGTAAGTAAACACCTTGAACTTTCAGATAGAATTCCTAAAAGGCCTTGTTTTAGGAGTAAGTCTATGTCTTTGGAATAAGGTAAAAGTGATCTGACATAATGGAATGTAAATCCAAACTTCGAGAAATGATCAACCTGTAATTTAAATGTCCACAAGAAGCAAAATGGTAGCTTTGAGAAGATAAAAATGGAATCCCACCCAAATCTCATCATGAATTGTAGTTCCCATAATCCCCACATGTAGTGGGAGGAACCTAGTGGGAGGTAATTGAATCATGGGAGTGATTTCCCCCATACTATAATAGTAATAACGAATAAGTTCTCACAAGAGCTGATGGTTTTAAAAGTGGCTTCCCCCTTCACTCAGCTCTCAATCTTCTCCTTCCTGCCTCCCCTTCCACCATTATTGTAAGTTTCCTGAGGCCTCCCCAACCAAGCTGAACTGTGAGTAAATTAAACCTCTTTCATTTATAAGTTACTCAGTCGTGGGTATGTCTTTATTAGCAGTGTGAGGACAGACTAATGCAATATTTAACCACGTATCATATACAAGGTCAAGTATATCAATCAGAAATAGCTGAATAAAGATGCAAACAATAGAAATATAACACAAGATAAAGAGAACAAGTAGTCAATAGAAACAGACCAAAAGATGATAGTAATGTTGAAAATAAGAAATGAAAACTAAAACATGAAAAGATAATCAAAATGAGTTAAATTTCTCAGCAGAGATTCAAATATTTAAAAAATAAAAATTATAGATGTGAAAAATACGGTATTTGATATGACAGTATTAACAGCAGATGGAGAAGAAAAAAATCTAAGATAAACACAAGTTTTACAATCTGAATAACAGAAGTGGAACAGGAACTTAAACTCTAATACAATAACAGAATATCAAATGCTCTAACATCAATTTAATTTGAGTCTCAGAAGAAGAATAAAGAAACAAGGGAACATAAAATAGTATTTGAAGCAATAATGGCTTAATGTATTCATGCAACATCAACTTGCAGATCTCAAAAGTTCAGCAAACCAACAAAAGATAATATCATTAAAATCACATGTAATATCATTAAAATCACACGTACCTATATAGCTTACAATAAAGTTCAAGAAAAACCTTTAAAGCAACCAGAATGTTAGGGTAGGAAAAACACATTTTATATAGAGAGAAATAATGGTACAAATTAAAGCTTCCTTTTCCTCACAGACATTGGATGCCATACAACAATAGGTAAAATCTCAAAGTATTGAAGAAAAAAAATTACAACTGTTATCCAAGAAATTTATCCAGGAAATAATAAAAGATACCTTTTACAAGTGGAAATGTAACTAAATGTTTTAAAATAATTTAAAAATAATTTTTTTAATTTTTTAAAATTTTCTAAAATTATTTTTTAGAATTATTTTATTTTAATTATTATCCTTTAAGTTCTAGGGTACATGTGCACAACGTGCAGGTTTGTTACATATGCATGCATGTGCCATGTTGGTGTGCTGCACCCATTAACTCATCATTTACATTACGTATATCTCCTAATGCTATCGTTGCCCCCTACCCCCACCCCATGACAAGCCCCAGTGTATGATGTTCCCCTTCCTGTGTCCAAGAATAATTTTAATAAAAAATGGATAAGATGGTACAGAGTTCCCACATACCCTGTCACCTAGTTTTCCCTATTATTAACATTTTATATATTATGGTCCATATAAAATCCACTGCGGTACATATAATACAACTAATGATGCAATGTTGATAGATTATTACTAAAGTCCACACATTACCCAGATTTTTAAAGTATTTACCTACCAAGAGCCAATCAAGGATACCAGATTATATTTAGTTGCCATGTCTCCTTAGACATTATTTTCTTGGCTGTGACACTTTCTCGGAATTTTGTTTTTAATGATAGACAATTTTAAGGAGTATTGATCAGTTGTTGTAGGATGCCCCCTGTTGAAATTTGTCTAGTGTTTTCTCTCACATGTTTCTCAGTTTTGAGAAAGAGGAATGAAGAGGTAAAGAGCCATTTTTAATCACATCATAGAGTTACACTCTTTAAACATAGTTTATTACTGTTGAAATTGACTGTAGCAACCTGACAGAGATCCTTTTTATCAAGTTTTGGTTTCCTGCTTGCCAGCTGCTCTCTTTGTCAGGAAGTCACTATGTAGTACAGCTCTCACTAAAGGAATGGGGAAGCAGGCTGCCCCTCCTTGAGTGTATATGCCTACATAAATTAGTTGGAATTCTGATGTTGTGAGACTTGTGTCTTCTTCATTTGTTTCTAAGCTTATTTACATGAGCATGGACTGAGGGATATTTATTTTATAGCTTGTGTTATAATCTAATACTATTTCATGTTTTGCTGAAACTATTTTGGCTTTGGCTAATGGGAGCTCTTCAGTTGGTCCCTATGTCTCTTTCACATAGCCTTATCAATGTGGAGTTTTTATTCGTTTGTTGTGAACACTTCCAGTTACTTAGTTGTTCAATTCAAGTATAGGAGTATAAGAGTAGAGCAGTATCAGAACTATTAACCTGTATTCTCATGGAAAACTTTACCGACTAGAATGCAGTCTTTATATACAGTTTATTTTGCCATTAGTTTTATAAGCTCAATTAATTATTTTTACTATAACTTTTATTTTAGGTTCAGGGGTCCATGTACAGGTTTTTTATCTAGGTAAATTGTGTGTCATGGGGATTTGGTGTATAGATTAATAAGTTATCCAGGTAATAAGTGTAATAATTTCTTAGTAACATAAGGTCAGCACTTTTTCCCCCACCCCCTTCAGTGAGATGGCTTCATACATTAGTAATAAAGTTAGATTCTCTTACCACAGCCTGTGCTCTTTTCAGGGATACCTGACCTCGTAATTTTTTTTTAATTTTACGGTTTACATACAACAATGTACATATTTGTCCTGTAATATTCTACGGGTTGAGACAATTGCAGTGTCATTTATCCACCATTGCCATATCATAAGGAATAGTGTCACTTTCCTAAAAGTTTCCTATAATTCACCTATACAACTCTCTCCCACTCATCCCCCAAAACCTGTGGAAGATGCTGAACTTTTTACTGTCTGTATAGTTTTACCTGTTTTACAATGTCATAAAAATGAAATCTTACAGTATGTAGACTTTTAACACTGTCTTCTTTAACCCAAGCAATTTGCATTTAAGGTACAGTCATGTTTTTTCCCAGCTTGATAGCTCACTTCTTTTGATCACTGAATAATATTCCCTTGTTTAAATATACCACAGTTTACCTATTCACCTTCTGAAAGACATCCTCGTTGTTTGTAGGTTTAGTTATTATAAATAAAACTATAATTTATGGTAATAAACCATCAGGTGAGATTCTTGGGTGGACATAATTTATCAACTCAGTTGAGTCCAATTACGGAATCATGTGGTATATTAGTTTATTCTCATGCTGCTATGAAGAAATACCTGAGACTGGGTAATTTATAAAGGAAAGACGCTTAATTGACTCACAGTCACACCTGGCTGGGGAGGCCTTAGGAAACTTACAATCATGGCAGAAGGCAAAGGAGAAGCAGGCACCTTCTTCATGGGAGGGCAGGACAAAGTGAGTGCAAACAGTGGAAATGCCAGATGCTAATAAAACCATCAGATCTTGTGAGACACACTCATTATCACAAGAACAGCTTTGGGGAAATTGCCCCCATAATCCAATTAATGCCATCTGGTCCCACCCTTGACACATGGGGATTATTACAATTCAAAGTGAGATATGGGTGAGGACACAGAGGAAAACCATATCATATGGTAAGGCTATGGGCTATGTTTGTTTTGGAAGAAAATGTTAACTCTTTCACAGTGACTGTGTCACTTTGCATTTCCACCAGCAATGAGTAAGGTTTCCCTCTTCTCATCACTCCCCACCATTTAGTTTTGTCAATGTTTTGGATTTTAGCCGTTCTAACAGGTGTGTAGTGATGTTTTAGTTTTTAAATTTGCAATTCACTAATGACATAGGATATGGTGCATCCTTTCATATGGTTATTAGTGATCTATCTTATTTGTTGGGATATCTGTTCATATCTTTTGCTTGTTTTTTAATTAGATTGTTCATTTTTAATTGTTTAGTTCTAATAGTTCTTTATACACTTTGAACACAAATCCTATATCATATTTATTTTGTAAATATTTTCTTCCAGTCTGTGGCTTATCTTTTGGTTATCTTAACGGTGACTCTTACATAAAAGTTTTTAATTTTAATTAAGTCCCACTAGTCAATTTATTTCTTAGTGACACACATTTGTATAATGTTCTTAATTCTGTGACATCTATTGAAGGGTTATCAAGTATAAACTATTTCATGGTAACTCTTTCTCTGATAAAACTTTATTTATTATCTAGAAATTACTGTTTGATTTTTAACTGTTTATCCAAAATGAAGGTATCTTTAAATAAAATCTCACAATATCAAAATATCTCAAAAAAAGTAAATGTAGGCCAGGCATGGTGGCTCACAACTAAAATCCCAGCACATTGGGAGACCAACGTGGGTGGATCACTTGAGCCAGGAGTTCGAGACCAGCCTGGTCAACAGGGTGAAACCCTATCTCTACTAAAAACACAAAAATTACCCAGCAAAGTGGCATACGTTTGTAATTCTAGCAACTTGAGAAGCTGGGGCATGAGAATCCCTTCAGCCTGGGAGGCAGAGGTTGCAGTGAGCCAAGGTTGTGCCGCCACACTCCAGCATGGGTAACAGAGCAAGACTCGGCCTCAAAAATAACAAAAATAAAAATAAAAATAAATAAAAATAGTATTTTTCTTGTCCACTAATTATACAGTAAGAGTGCCTTTAATTTCTACTAATATATTTTATATTTTTATAAATAAGAAGCTCACAATATTATGGATTTAAAGTGGAATATTATTGGAAAAGTTGAAATCTTGTTTAGAAATGAAGCATTACCTCCAGACCAGAGCTCCTGAATTCAGAAAATAAAAGTCCAAAGATCGAGTTAGATACCTCTGTGTGTGTTAAGATATAGAAAAAGTACAAAACGTGATGATAGAAACACATTTGCAAAGAAAAAAAAAGGAAATACTATAAATAACTGATTAAATTCTCAAGAAATGTTATGTGATATCTTAATAAAATTTTCCCACATACAGAGACATTTGAGACATCTGTAGAGATCCTTTGAGGGGAAAACTGAGTAATTGCTTAACTCAGGAAAATAAATTTAGTATGTGAATACTGATTTACTAACTCAATGAACCTCTGCAGGTTATCTTGCAGTGTTAAGGGTAACTGAATATAGGGCAAACTTTAAATCTACAGATAGTGCATGGAAGGCAAAATCTGAATCCAAATGAACAAAAATGGTATGAATATAAATAGCAAAGTAGAGCAGAGTTCATATTTAACTATGTGCTAAAAAAAGGAGGATATGGCATGTTCCCAACACAAAGAAAGGATAAATGTTTGAGATGATGAATATGTTAATTATCCTGATCTGACCACTATCATTATATGTATCAAAACATCAGTATGCACCCCATAAACATGTACAATGATTATATGTCGATTAAATATAATAAAATAAAAAATACAAAAAAAGGAAAAAAGATATGGAATAGTAATGGTATGGGGGCGGTGTTTACAGATTTTGAATACAATTGGTCATAAACATATAAATCAGAATTAAATGCAAGTTGTTTCACATGGAAAACAGGTTTTCACATCTTTTTTATTACAGATGAAATGATATGAAATACCATGTATTTCTTTCATACTTGTATTTTTACTCCTAAGTTACTCTTGCAATCTAAAATTTTAAAACTAACCATCATACTCTGTAAGAGATATATATTAAACAATTTCAGGAATCAATATAGCAGTTCATTGAACTGAATGGTTAATTTTGGTAAACTATTATTTTTCTATCAAACCCATGTCATTACAATGTGGAAGATGTCTATATGAATGGTGGATGAGGGCTGGACTTCTAACATACATGGGTTTGACATGATATTTCCCCAGAGATACCTTTTGGTAACTGATTTTCATTTGGAGGTTTTAAGGACAAAGTGAGACTAGATTTATGATACTGTGCTATGTTTTACTTTAAATAATTACTCATATAATTTATGATTGCTGCTGTTAAGGGATCATTAAAATGATGGCAGAATTTTTAAGTGTGTTAATAGTTGTATAGCAAATGATTGAACTGGCTGAGTATTGATCTATGTCAGTTGTTAAAATAGTCCTAAATACCAAGATGATAATGAAGTAGAATAGTTTCATTTAATTTTCATTTCTATAGGCATTACCAGAGGCTGAAGTGTTTTTCCTCTCATTTTAGCATCTTTTATATACTCATTAAAATAGCAAAAATGACATTTTAAACCAATAAAAACAGTGTCACAGTTGAACTGAAATTGGTGAAATGTTATCATTGATTTATGAAAAAAAGATAGTTGTATCAAATTTTCCAAAGGTTGTTTTCAGTCTTTAAATAAATTCTACTTGTAGGGATCATGTTGTGTAGTAGACA
Source organism: Homo sapiens (assembly GCF_000001405.40). Classification (NCBI taxonomy): domain Eukaryota; kingdom Metazoa; phylum Chordata; class Mammalia; order Primates; family Hominidae; genus Homo; species Homo sapiens. The sequence continues at coordinate 9,748,224 of NC_000010.11, forward strand.
AGACATTCTCTTATTTCCCATAAATAAAACTCTATGGTAGGATAAATTACTGAATTGATAGGTTATAGTAATCACTGTATCTCTCTGATAAAAACATAAGAAAATTCTTATAGGAAAAATAATGAATACATTATCTTTTCCTCCTTTTACATTCAGAGGAACTTTACTAATATAAAAATCCAAGTGGCAAATGTGGAGCGAGGATATTTCTACAAAGTAGATTAGCCACAACTCTTTTGCCTCCATCCTAAATTGGTAAATTAATACCTGTAATAATTCTAAACTGTGAGACCTCAGAGAGGATTAATGAAGCTACAAAGATAACAGTTTATAAGGGACAATTCCAAACACAGATTCCCATCAAGAAGAGTTCCCAGGGAATAATTTCACGGTTTCTCTAAAGAAGCTACAGAACTAGAGACCATCGGCAACATTCTTAAACTTAAATTAAATTGGTAAGAAAAGAAAAATACTAAAAGAAAATTTGGCATTATGTATGAAGTGATTTATTACATATTACATATGTATGAAGTGATTTATACATATGTATGAAGTGATTTATTACATATTACATATGTAGAGAAAGAGTCCTCAAATGAGTCCTCAAATGATATATACTCCAAACAAGTGTGGGTTTTACTCACTTAAATTAGTTTAGCTCATTGACACCATAAAAATACTGGGTTAAAAAGGTGATAACAGTGAAGACAGAGATTTCTAAGACAAGGATACTCAAAAATAGATCTCAGAAAGGTCTATAAAACAGTTTTATTTTTAGTTTGGTTGAAAAAATGTTGTATCAAGACTATCAATTTTCTTGTGTTTGACTTACGTATCCCAATAAAACTAAGAGTTATTTTCTTTGTTCTGTGCTCCTCTACCATAAAATGTCACCTCTAGATAGATATTCATTTATCTTCTTTACCCAATACAGTGTTAGTTTTTGTTTGTTGTTTGAAGCTTAATTATTAAAAGTCTTCTATTTTATCATCAAGAAACTTAATTATTAAAAGTCTTCTATTTTATCATCAAAGCTGTTTTATTTTAACGGGTTAAAAAAAAAATACCCACAGCTTAGCTAGACTTAGGTTGTTGTCCTGGTTCAAGAGAGCAGAGGGAACCAGTAAGACATTTAATGGGAAGATCCTAGAATGGCTGAATTATGCACATGTCAAGAAGATGCAAGGGACACTGACAAAGAAAACTTGAGAACTGACTTGAACTTTGAATTCATTACTCATCCCAAATAGTCTGGGTGGCAGAAGTTGAAAGTATTACAGGATTAAGATATTTGAGCATTATTTCTGCCAAAACTATTGGGTGACTACAAAAATTCAGACAAAGGTAAGATACTTAGGTACACAGAGTTAGAAATAAAAATAATCAGAAAAATTCACCAGAGACATCAGTGAATGCATATCACGAAGAAGACAGAATTTAAAGTAAAGCTCATGTTACTAAACAAAACAAGAACAAAACCCAAAAATTTCAGAGAAAGGAAAACACAAAATTCAGAGTTCCTACAAGATATGATTTTAAATATTCAGTTATCTAGAAACTACAAGACATGCAAAGAAATGAGAGCATGGCCCACACTCAGCTAAACAATAGTCAATAGAAATTGACTTTGAATGAACCCAGATGTTGAGTTTTGCAAATTACCACTTAACATCAAAGAAAATTAATTTGAAGAAATAATAGCTAAATACTTTTCAAATTTTATGAAAAACATTCATTGGAAAATCCAGGATTCTCACATATCAAGTACTATTGGCTTCCAGTTTGCTAAGGCCAGCATGACTTTCCTAAAAGCTTAATGTTGGAGCATTATATTCATGAAGTTACTCATGCTATCATTCTACCTCTATAGAAAATGATAATAACCTATAAATAGAGTTGCTTTAAGCTTCAGTAGTATGTCAAGATTAAATTATCACAAGAGAGGAAATGTGGCGGGGGGTGGGGGAGTGGTGGAATGAAACAAATAAGAGGACTTAACTTCACCCCAGGACTGCAAATCTCTGAAATGATTCAATATTTACAAAAAAACTTTTTTGACGTTATTTAATTGCATGCTAAAAGAAATCAATCAACACCCTTCAGAGAAATATAAACAGAATCTAGAGTCTTTATAACATTATATACCCAATGTCTAGGATACTATTCAAAGTATCTTGACACATGGGAACACAGGATAATGTGACCCATTTGAAAAGGAAAATACACTCAATAGAAAATGACACTGAAATGACACATGTGTTGGAATTAGAAGTTAAATATTTAAACATAGTTATTTTAATAAAAAAGAAATTATAAAAATAATAAAATATAAATTTTAAAACTAAAAATACAATAACAGAAATAATTGCAGCCTCAGAAAGAGAGAAAGAAATGAGATAGAAAACATATTTGAAGGATTAATGATCAGAAATGTCCCCAACCTAGGGAAAGATTTAAATTTTCATATTCAGAAAGTTCAGCAAATCCCAGGTAGAATAAATACAAAGAAAACTCTGCCTCAGCACATCATAATCAAACTGCTAGAAATCTAAAACTAGTACCAGAGGAAAATACTTTATATACAGGAAAACAATGATTTGAATATCTGTAGACTTTTTAATAATTAATTCCAGACGATACTGAAATAACACCTTAAAAGTCCTGAATGAATGAAAACTGATAAGTAACCTAAAATTCTGTGTTCAGCAAAAATACTTAAGGATTAAGAAAAACTAAATCTATTTTCCAATGAAGGAACACTAAGCATATGCTTCAACTGAAGACTTGAACTAAAATAATTAGTAAAGGAAATTCTTCAGTCTGAAGGAACATCATCCAGTTAAAAATGTTATCTGGGAAGAAATGAAGAAACTCAGAAATAGCAAAAGCTGAGTATATATAAAAGGATATTTTTCAACTAGATTCTACAATATACAAATTACTACTTCAAGCAAAAATTAAAATAATATAATCTTACATTTAATTATATATAGATATGTGTCAAGATAAAGCCAGATATAAATGACAATGATAGCACAAATGGACTATATAAATGTTTTTTATATTTTAAAGTTATTTTGTAGCTCTAAAAAAACCCTGTAAGTTTAAGAATATATAGTTAATCACTAAAACAACTATTAAAATATTTTAAATAAGAGAGAGAAATTTAAAAATACAATTCAGAAAATGTTTACATAGAAGTTTTGCATGGAACAAAAATGGAACAAAAGCAACAGCAAGACAGAAAAAAACAGAGGGAGATGCAGAAGATGGTAGAGCTCAAGTAACTATATAAGCAATTACATTAAACGTTAATGTATTAAGAACTCCAATTAAAATTTAGAAATTGTCTGATAGAATAAACAAGAACCCACAATCTACTATTTTCAAAGATAACCTCTAAATGTTGAATTAAATATACACTGAAAGATAACGAATGAACAAAGTAACATCATGCAAAGAGGAAGTGTAATAAGACGGGTGGTTATATTAATATTATATAAAAGAGACTTTAAAAGAAAGTACATTAGCATCGATACAGAGGAGTATTTCACACTGATAAAAGGGTCAATTTATCATGAATATATAATAATAATAAATATATGTAAGCCTAACAAAAATACATGAATAAAAACTGAGAAACATAATTTCATGATTATAATGGATATAGTATCACCACTCTCTCAGTAATTAATAAAACAAAAATCATCAGTATAAACATAAATGCTCTGAATGATACTGTCAGCCACCTTTAACCGACATTTTTAGAACACTACAACCAATACCTTCAGAATACAATATATTCAAGCCTACATGCTACTTTCAGGAAGACAGTTTATAAAACAAGTCAATACATTTAAAAATACTGAACCTATACAAACTATTAATAAGTTAAGCCACACATTTTTATATAATCTATTGTTCAAAGATGAATACAGGAAAATTAGAAAATATACAAAACAGAATCATAATAAAATATTACCAAACTTTTAAATGAGAAATTAAATGACATACATTTATGTACTCTAGAGATTAAGGAAGCAATCACTGACCCAAACAAAAAAGATAAAATCATAAATTTTTAGACCAAAAAAACACATTTTGTATGCCACAGAAAGCAACAACTTTAGAAACAGTAAATTATGCACTACCAAATTAAAAACACTTCTCATCAAAGGACACTATTAAAATTAATAGGCAAGTCACAGGCTAAAAGAAAATACTGGCAAAAATACATTTGACAAGAAACTCACATAGATGATATATAAAGTTATCCTATAATCAAATAATAAAAAATGACAAACCAAATATAAAAGAGAACAAAACACTGAGTAGGTGCTTCATAAGAAAAAGATATATTAATACAAATAAGCATGGATATGAAGTAGTCAACATCATTAGTTTTCAGGGAAATACAAATTTAAAACCACAAAATGATTCCAATATTCATCTACCAAATGGCCAAAAAATTTTTAAAAAGATGTATAATGCCAAATATTGGGAAGGATATAAAGCAAGAAGAATTTTAATACATTGTTGAGGGGAATGTAAAATGATACAACCACTTTGAAATTAGTTCTGACAGTTTTTTTTAATCAAAACATAACCTTCACTGTGACCCAGTAATTCCAATCCTAGGGCTTTACCCAGGAATGGTAAAAACCTATGTCCACAAAAGGAGTTTTTAAATAATATTTACATCAGCTTTATTCATAACTCCCAAAATTTGTCAACAGTAGTAGATACTATACAGTATTACAGTCATACAATAGATCTCTACTCAGTCATAAAAATTAACCAACTGTTGATACACCTAGCAACATTAACAAGCTTCAAAGCTATATACTGTATGATTCAATTGATATGAAATTCTAAAACTGGCAAAACAAATCTAAAAATATGAGAACAGTTGCTTTTGGAGGTTGATATCTGAGATAGATTGGGAAGAGGTATGAGGAAACTGAGATTATAATAATGTTCTATTTCTTGATAAAGATTTGTGTATTCAGGTATATGCATTTTTTAAAATGCAGTGACTATACACCTAAGATTTGTGTATTTCATTATACGTAAGTTGCATATTAAAAGAAGAGCTCTAAAATGTCTTCTAGTTAATTATATTCATGCTTCCATATTTAGGGAGATGTAGACAGATGTCTGAAATTTACATTGAAATGACTTAAAAATTCAAGACGGAATGATGGGTGGATAAAATAATGAATTAGTATTTTGATATGTTATAAAATGTGTACAGCAAAATGTTAATGGTAAAACATAGCTGTCATATATATGAGTGTTCATATTAATATACTGTCATGTTTTGTCAGTATTTTTAGAAATTGTATTAATAAAATATTAAAAATAATTTAAAACTGCCTTGTTTGATGACAGTATCTATAAACTACCAAGATGAAATGCTTTTCCGAGTTTTTGGAGGCCATGGCCCAAAATCACACACTGTAATCCTATTGAATGCCTCTCCACAGGTGTATTTAATCTTCGAACTTCTTCACGTGTCAGTTTGTGAGAATAAGTTGGATCCTGGCTTTCCCACCATAATATAATGCCTTCATTCTGATGTAGGACTATGAAAGACACTTTTGTGTTTCACTTTTTCATTTGTGTCATATTGAAAAATATTTTAGTCAACATGATGCAAAAGATAATACAGCAGCTAGAGTCAGACAATAATGAACTCAAATGTGAGTTAAAGTTTATCTTACTATCGAACTAGGAGATCAAGGGTAAGAAAATTTCTTAAATTCTCATTCTCATTCTGTGTGTGTGTGTGTGTGTGTGTGTGTGTGTGTGCATGTGTGTATGTTTAAGATTTAGACTGAATGCAAGAATGCTTTTCTTACAGAATAGTTGTAAAAATTAAATGTGATAAAATATAGTAGCACCTTGTTTAACACCTAGTATATGGCAAGTATTCAACACATTTTATTGCCTTTCCTTCATTATTTCATAATGTAAATAATACTTATTTACATTTTCAGACAATAGGCGTAATTTTCTTATGTGCTATAATACTCATATTTTTTAATATGTCTACTACTATTAATGTTGTGGGCAAACAATTATGTATTTAGAATGGATCCTCACAACATAAGGGTATCCTGTCCCTTATTCAGTCAAAGAATAACAAAGAAATTATACCTTAATGAGACATTTTCATCAACATGGCAATACCAGTACCAAACCCCCATGGAGAATGCTATCATCAAATTCCAGAATAGCTTTGAGGAAACAGAATGTAGAAATGAAATGTGATAGAAACTCTATTAATAGCCTCATCATTACATTATTAATATGATGTATTTATCAGACTAAGGCAGATCTCCAGAGATTACAGCATTGTTTAAGAAAAATAAGAATCTATTATGTACTTAAATGAATCTTTTATTTTTTTCATAGAACTCTAGATTTAGATTACACTGCCTAACCCTTTTAGCCTGGTAACGTGAGTAACATAATTAGGTACAAAGCACTCAGCGTGGAAGTAACGGTGGAGAGGCATAGGAATCTTCTCAACCCTGGGGAGTGTTGTCGTCAGGAGTTAGATGAAGCCTGCCCTTCTTTCTGACTAAGGATAATTAATCTATGCCCATCTCTCTTCGAACATGCACCAGAACCTGCAGATGAATATGCCCTGTCTGGTTTGTCACCTGTATGCATGAGGCCACATTTCTCCAACTCACTTGATTGTGGCTCATCTATGATGGACACTTCTGCACACACTGCCACATTCCCTCGCTTTTCTTTCCCCAGAGCTGAGAAATGCTGCTCAGCCATGTTCAGGCAGAGTGTGGAGGGATGGAAAAAGACGTCACTCATGTGGTGTGTAATGAGACCACGGAACCCCATGGTCATACCCCTCATGTCCCTGCTTCAGGGTGAAGTGGGTCCCCTGGTCTGTTCTATGTTGTGTGGGATCCCATGATTGTGGGTCAATCCTTCCTCACTTCCCTAGAGAGTGAAACTGGCTGAGGCTCTGCTGGCAGGAAATGCAAATCCATAGCTGAATAGATAGAATAGTTATCAGTCACTGTGAGGATGAACCTTACAATAGAGTTGGCTTGCCTCCACATGGCTGGTTGGTTTTCTCAAGGAGCAGTGCTATGTCAAGTGCTCAGCTTTTCTGTCTGCTGCCCAAAACAGGTAGGATGTCCAAGTGCAGCGGTAGTTAGACAGCTCTTGGTAAGTGAGAATCCATGCTGATGGGCCCGTGAATAGCTTTCTTCTCTGCTGTTGTGGCCACTCCTTCAGGTGTCCAGAGTTTCAATTCCAGGGTGGCCAATGATGAGGACTATGTAATGTTAACCAGTCAAGCATTTTCTCTACTTGGTGTTCAGTGCCTCTTTCATGGTGAACCCTCCTGGGTGGACATTAGCATGAGATACATTTCCATACCTTTATCCAAGTCCTTCTTGTTTAATATCCTACTCCCCTTCCCATAGGCCCCCTAATCAGCTGGTGAGGATGCTGGCCAGGGGCAAGGAATCTATGTATAACCTCAAGCCATTTCTTCCAAATAAAGCTGATGACTTATACACTGCTAGAAGCCTTACTCATTGGTAAGTTTTTCCCCCTTTACTATTGTTCAAGATCACCCTAAATGTGGCTTCAGTGCAGCCACTGCTCATGTTTGTGCTTTCACTCAGGTACTGACTTAACCCATGCATCCATAAGCCAAGCTCAAGCTTTCTCCCCTTCTTCAGGGTGGTTGTATGACAGCTCTGCGCATCACTACGTGTAACACTGGGAAGGGGCGCTGGTACAACTGTGGTGGATGCCAAGGTCATCTGTGCTCCCTGCTCATGCATCTTACTCATGTGCTCTAGTCCTCATCAGATTTACTATCCAATGTATGTTCTCCATCTCATAATGGAGATTTGCTGGAGCCAATTAACTTTGTAGCTTTATATGTCCAAGGAATCCAATTCATCATGTACAATTAAGAATGCATACTCATTTGTTGCCTCTTGGTAAAGTGTCTCTATCAGGGCATGGTAACAAACTAACAGCTGTCTCTCAAATGGTGTATAATCGCCCACTATAATTAGTTTAGGTCTTAGTAGTAACTTAGCCTTACTTCAGAACATTGGGGACCACCATTATAATTCCCCTAAAGGGGCTTTCCATAAACTCTACACATCATCTTTCAACACTACTGGCATCTCCAATACACAGTGTCTGCAAGATTATATGGTCCAAAGGGTAGGTCTGGTTCCACTACCACCTGGGTCTGCTGCAGAGCCATTCCCTGCTCCCAGCTCTATAAAGCTGGCTGTCTTTCAGGTTACTGAACGTATGGATGAGAGCCATACTCCTAAGTACAGAATAAGATGCCTTCAGAAGCTAAAGAGGACTACCTCTTAGGTAAGCTTTGTACTTGTTTTTAATGATAGAAAACACAAAATGCTACAGCTTCTCTCTTACTTTGGAGGGTATATATATTCTGACAAGCCCCTGATCACTGGACTGCTAAAAACTTTACTGAAGTGGCAGGTCCCTGAATCTTTACAACATCTATTTTCCACCTGCTATAGACATGTATCTTATCAAGGCCTCAAAGGTAGTAGCCATCTCTTTCTTATTCTGCCTGATTGTTACCTGGTGTAATGCCTACTTGACATAGCTGAATTTCCGCCCTGTCCTAACTCTGCTGATCTTTAAGGAGCAGGGTGCTTGCAATAAAAATTCCCCTTTATAACCAGACAAGCTAGGTCCTGTTTGAATGAAGACAGCCAACCAAAGGACTACAAAAAGACCTCAGGCTTCATTATCATCTCATTTCTATGCTAAATGACACTCCCACCAGTGCCATGACAGTTGACAATTGCCAGAAAAAGCCATTAAAAGGCAAAAAGGAAGGCAGCACTCTGGCTCTTGGAAGTTCACCACACATTTCTGGAGAAAATATGAATATTCCTCCCCTCACTTTTAATGTCCAAACCCTTCGTTAGAGAAACCCTATCTCCCCGCACCCATCGAAAAGCTGATTTGTGAGTCATGCTCTTGCTTCTCAATTCCATTGCCATCAAATAAAACCTGCACTGCTTGACACTCGCTTTTGGTTTAATGTATTGGCTTCATGACACCAAACGGGGAAAGGCCCCATCTTTTGGGGGACCAGCTTTGTCAGTAACATGATCAGCATGACGTCATAGATGTAATGAGTTAATATGTTTTGTGGAATGGCCAGCTGGTCAAGATTTCTTTGTGCAATATTATGACAAGGAAAAGGAGAGCTAACTTAGCCCTATGGAAAACTGTAAATAAACATTGTTGACAATTCCACATGAATGAAAATAGTTTCTTCTCCCCTTTTTAAATAGAAGAGAGAAGAATATATTTACCAAATCAATGCCCTCATGCCATGTTATTGAAGGTCTTATTAATTTGCTCTAGACACACACAGAAACTGTAACGAAAGCTACTGCTCAATTCAGGTTGCAGTAGTCTACTGGCATTCCCTAAGATCCATCCGGTTTCTTCAGGAGCCGTACCAGAGTATTTAAATGGAGAAAAGTTAAGAACCGTCAGCACTGTGTCATTTAGGTTTTTTTTGGTTTTTTTGGTTTGGTTTTGTTTTTTTGTTTTGTTTTGTTTTGTTTTGACCAAATCTTGCTCTGTCGCCCAGATTGGAGCACAGTGGTACAATTTTGGCTTACTGCAACCTCCACCTCCCGGGTTCAAGTGATTCTCGTGCTTCAGCCCCTTGAGGTAGCTGAGATTACAGATACACGCCACCACACCCAGCTTATTTTTTGTATTTTTAGTAGAAACAGGGTTTTGCCATGTTGCCCAGGGTGGTCTCAAACTCCTGGGATCAAGCGATCCACCTGCCTCAGCCTCTCAAACTGCTGGGATTACAGATGTGAGCCACCACGCCTGGCCCATTTAGATCTTTAATGGTGGTAATAATAGTCATGCTCCTGGGATGCAATATTATTAACGACTTACTACCTTGGACTAGGAAGGAGGGTCAGTCCCAGAGGTTTGACATGGCCCTCCCTACTAGGGTAGGACCCAATGTGGGGGTTACTCCAACTGTCTAGTGTATTAGTCCTTGTTATCCACTTGGCCAATGGGGAAATGGCCGATAAATGGGATTGTGAGCCCAGTGGATGTGTAGAGGAGAGAACTTGCCTATGGCTGTCAGTGAGTCCAGCCTGTGACGGCCTCTGCTACCTTCAGCCCTGGCCTGCATAGAACAGCCACTGAAATTTTAGTGATTCTGGTAGCCTTTTTCACCAGCTGGTGAATGGTGTGTCTAATGGTTTTAGTGAATAGCGTGTCATAATACTTAACCTCTGGCAGATCTTCTGTCCTCACCTAATGTGTCCATTCCAGAGTACCCACTTTCCTCATCCTCTTTCTACCTTTCTCTACCTTTCTTCATGACAATTTAGGAAATGACAATTCCTCAAGAAAGGGCTTTTACATTTTCTCCAGGTTTCTAAGGGTCACCCTGCAGGGAGTTTGCCCCATATGCTGCAATCCTTGCCAAGGTATTAAACTGTGTTCTGAGAAAGTGAATCCAAGTCCATAAATTTTTGCTTAGCCAGTTTTTATTCCAGTCCCCATTATCAAGCACCCACCAAAGTTCCCCAGGTCCTGCCAATAGGTACTAGCGAGTCCCCGCACCATCTCCTTCAGCATGTAGTCGCTTTCTTCCTTCATCATGCCCGGCACATCTTTAGTGACTTTATGCTGGAAGGTAGCCCAAGCTGCGGACCTGGAAGCCAGAACAGTGGTGGATTGTATTAGCACTAGGGCTGCCATAACAAAATACTGAAGATTGGGTGGCTTACCAAAAAAAAAAAAAAAAAAAAAATCATTTTCTCACAGTTCTGGAGGCTGGAAGTCCAAGATCAAGGTGTTGGCCGGTTTGTTCCTCCTGATACTTCTCTCCTTGGTGGGCGGATGGCCGTCCTCGTTCTTAGCATCCTTGCAGGGCCTTTCCTCTTTGCATGTGCATTGCTGGTGTTGCTCTCTCTTCTCACAAGGCCACTAGTCCTGTTGGATTAGGGACCCCCCCATTATGACCCCATCCTATCTCCTATTACAGTCACACTGGGGGGTAGGGCTTCAACACTGAATTCTAGGGAGAAACAATTCAGTCTATAACAGGTCTAGGGAGGGCCAATGGCCTTCTGAGGAAGACATTTGCTTTATCAATCCACAGGTTGAAGTGCTAGCTCCTATTAAGAAGACGTGGGCCACATCTGCAGAATCAAAATCCCCAGGAACATCCATTTAGATGGGCCTGTTTCATTTTCGGGGCTTCATATTTTTCGAGTCAGTGCCTGACTTTAGCATAACAGATCTGCCTTACCTAATGACTCAGGAGGGCTACTGCTCCTCCTCTTTAATACCCTGTCTGCTTCCACATAAGGACCTATGGGCCTCATTCTAAACTTAACAAGCCCATTTGACTTTCACATTAGCCTCCATTTGGTAAAAGCTTTTCAGTTTCTCTTTATTCCTCTGCAGGGCCAATATTATTTGGGTGTAAACTCACAGTTTTGCTCTTCTTATGAACATGACTTTCCCCCATACCTTTCAAGTGCCTGCATCATTCAGCCTGAGTCATTTCACCTACAAGGGCACTTCCCTGTTTTCTCAGGTTACTCTTCATGAAATCTTTTTTTTTCTTTTTTTTGAGATGGAGTCTTGCTCTGTCGTCCAGGCTGGAGTGCAGTGGCACGATCTCGGCCCACTGCAACCTCTGCCTCCCAGGTTCAAGCAATTATCCTGCCTCAGTCTCCGCACTGGCTGGGATTACAGGCACACACCACCACGCCCGGCTAAGTTTTTTATTTTCGGTAGACGAAGTTTCACTATATTGGCCAGGCTGATCTCGAACTCCTGACCTTGTGATCTGCCCTCCTCAGCCTCCCAAAGTGCTGGGATTACTGGCTTGAGCCACTGCATTTGGCCATGAAATCTTTAGCAACCACACTCCCATCTTATTTAAGAAACTATCTGTGGCAATTAGAATATTTAAAATGATGTTATCCTTGATACCTTAGCAGCAAGTGAACAAATTCCCAAGGACCATCTCAATGTCTGCCTTGTTTAGACTATTCTTTAGATCACCTCTGTTAATTCACGTCCTTCAAGAAGTATACACCAAGAAGAACATCTGTTATAGTACATTTGTCCAATATTAGTACATTTTCACTGTTATAAAAGAATACCTGAGGTTGGGTAATTTATAAAGAAAAGAGGTTTATTGGGACTACGGTTCTGCAAGCTGTACAATCAAGGCATCAGCATCTGCTTAGCTTCTGATGAGGGCCTCAGCAAACTTCAAATCATGATGTAAGATGAAGGGGGACCCAGCATTTCACATAGGTATAGTGGGAGCAAGGGGCAGAGGGATGCCACACTCTTTTAAACAATCATATCTTGCATGAACTCACAGCAACAACTCACTCGTTACCACGAGGAGGGCACCAAGCCATTTATGAAAAATCCACCCCCATAAGCCAAACACTTTCCACTAGGCCCCATCTCCAATACTGGGGATCACATTTCAACATGAGGTCTGGAGAGGAAACACATCCAAACCATTAGATGTACAGAGGATTTAATGGGAGAAACTCACTTGAAGGCAAAGGGGACAGGGCCTGAGTCAGCAGGAAGGTCCTCCAGCATGTAATGCTGTGGAAGACTGAGCAGGAAGAGCCTCACACTGCAGCAGAGCTCGAGACAAGTTGGGGTCAGGGTGATTAGGGATCCCCAAGCCAAAGGATGCTCTCTTAAGGCATCCTGTATCCCGTAGAAATGGGCCAGCACCAGGACATACACCACGATTAGCCCTCATCCCTGAGAAGCCTACACAGGGAAAACATGTTTTTCTAAATGGTGGTGGATCTCTAGGTCTGTCAGTGACGTGGGCACCCCAGCTCGGTCTCTTGAAAGAGATTAGAACCATGCATTTTCACGGCTACCATGATATCGCTTACAGATGATTCATGATACAAGAAATTTAAAAAAGCAAAGATTTAAACAAATTGGAACAAAGGGAAATTGGGGTGAGCATCATAAGATGAAACTGAACATAAGATTAGTAGGCAAATATATGTCATAAAATCCTGTGGATCAAAAACATTGCTTTGAGACTTGAATATTTGATAAAAAGAAGAAAATATCATTTATAAATAATTAGTTTGGCCAACAAAAAATAAATGTTAGTGGTTCAAAGGAATTAATCTATTCCTAAAACTGAGGGATGAGATATTATCCAAAATGAACAACATGTGCTATAACCATATTTTCAAAAGAGCTGGCTATGGAGTGACAAGTTACACTTGCCAGATACCAGGAAGTCACACTTCTGTTAAGTAGTAGCATACAGGTAGCATAGTTTTTATAGTATGATTTCACCAAATGTTAGGACTTAAAGTATCTAAAGAAATGGATTATCCTACAAATTGTCTTCCATGAACATTATTGAGAAATACTGTGCAGCTTTTTGTGTTTTTTTGTTTGTTTGTTTTGTGTTGTTTTGTTTTTTTGGTTTTTTTTTTTTTTTTTTTTTTTTGAGAAGGAGTCTCGCTCTGCCGCCCAGGCTGGAGTGCGGTAGCACAATCTCTGCTCACTGCAACTTCTGCCTCCTGAGTTCAAGTGATTCTCCTCTTGTAGTTTTCATTACAGCTGAAGTACAGTAGTCCACGCTGTCAATTAACAGAATATATGCCTGACTTTACCAACAGCAAAGTAAAGGTCAAAAACATGCCTGAGATACTCCTCCAACCTTGGAGGAGTTGTTGAATTAGTTTGGGCAAGCAGAACCAAAACTCGTTCAGAAAGGAATGCAAAGTTCACACCAACAAACTGACCAACGGGCAACTGAGGCCTCCATGTTTTCTCCCCTTGGGGCAAGATTGCAATGATTTTAACTTTAACTGTGTTCAAGTGCTACTAAATTCGTACTCGAATGAAGTGCCTAGAGAACATGTAACTTCCCATAATGCACTGTCCAGGTTTAATCCTTTAAAATAAACAGGTCATAAAAAGAACGCCCAGGTAATTGAATGGATTGATTCGTTCTGTGGAGTTAACTCTACGATGAAGGACACTCACCAAAAAATTATTTTGACCTTGGAATACTTCTTTTTAAATAATTATTTCTAACAGTAATTATATAGAAGTGCCAGTGATCTCTTCAAGCTACCCCTAAATTCTGATAATAAAACCATATCATCTAACTGCTGTACAAGTGAGTGCTTGGATTGATTCTGTTTTCTAAGGGGACAGAGAAGGATACTTAGCTCGTTTAAAAGTGGTTTCAAATCATTAAGTAAGTGTATAAAAACAAGTTAGTGGAGAAACACATCTCTCTTTATTCCAAATGAAGATTATTATCCAGTACCCTAGAAAATAATTCCTTCTGACCTTGATTCTCGTGGTATCACTGAGGCACTATTTATTTAGCACTGAAAGCCAGAAGTTAAACTCACAATGAATTTTTCAACCAAAACCATGATAAAATTATGAACAGAGACCTGCCATTGACTGTATGCCTACTGTGTAGCAGGAACTGTGTTGGCCACACATGGCATCTCTTTCTCAACAATACCATGAGATAATTAATCTGGCACCTATTGTATAAAAGAGAAACTGGAAGTATAAGTAATGTCTTTCCCTGCTCTTGTTCCCAATGTGATACCGCAGGAAAGTGAAAGACCCAGGGGTCCAATTATATCTGGGTCAAAACTCCTGTTCTTTATTTTTAATCCACTCCTATTGCTTCCATTCCAAGCCTTCATAAATATGAGGGCATTTTTGGGCAAATACATCATTTTGCTTAACCGCATGACTAAATGTTCCTAACTATGTGTCATTGTCTCTGCCGACCTCAAAATATGTTATGGCATTTCTTAATTCCCCATAGATTGCCCCATTTTGCAATAATTTCATTATCATGATGACATCAGCTTTTGCCCTTCTTTCTAAAGTTACTACAGTCTTTTCGGGCCAGAAGAATGCCAAGCCATCAAATAGAATATTTTTATCTCAAGACATTATATAGGTCATATTGATAAGGATGTCCATCTCAATCAATATCAGCTGTGGCCTGCTGCTTTCCAAAATAAGCCAACTTCTGTGAAATCTCTCTTACTCACCACTCTCTGTCGAACTGCCAGTAGCAGATGTTTTCATCACTCTAAGTTAAACTACATTTTTTTCTTCCTGTAAAATAGTTTAAATGACTCTGATATTCAAACAATGCGAAAGCATTTCTCATCAGTCATACTCATGGTATATAACTAGAATCTCCGGACCCTCTACCTTGACATACTGTTTTTCTTGCAACAGACATGATTCAAGAGGTTAAAATGTGCACAGTGAGAGACAGACTACGCCTTACCAGCCAGTATTGTTTGTGTGACATCTGCAAGTTTTTCTCATTCTATTTGGAGCTCAGAAGAATCTGGAAAGATCACTATGTCTGCATGGTCTTTACACTTGCCTAATAGTAGCAACTTGTTATGCTAGTGAACTTATTAAATGTATATTTTTATTGATAATTTATTTTATGATTTTTTTCATGATTCATAACATTTGTGCCTATTAATATAATATTTGGGTTTATCATATGCATATGCACTCATTAATCTGTTTGATTTCCTGTGTTATGTGTTTGATGATGTCTAAGCCTGTGGGATTTGCTCTTCCCCACAAAGAGAAAGGTATAACTTCAGGATTCCATTCTTTATTTTGGTTTATTCCCTAACCGCTAATAGTCAAGTGCAAGTACTTGAAAGTTGCAACTTTCAAACTGCTTTGAACATTAGTGGGCTTCCAATACATATGGAATATGCATAGTGAAAAATATTCCAAATAGTAATTATATGAATGCCTCACGTGTAGGCATTTTATATGTTATATATAAGCAAACATTCATTTCTTACAGCAATGATAAATTATGTAAATATATGAATGTATGTAAGTTATATAAGATATAAATACCATGCTACCTCTAAAAATGAAGAAAATTAAGCTCAGATAAATTAAATAACTTGCCTAGAGACACAAATCCAATATATTTCAAATCCAGGAATACAGCCCAAGACTGTTTTACTCTAAAGCTTCAAGATAAATTGGAGGACAATAATAGTCTTCAAAATAATGTCTGCACAGAGGGTTACAGCAAGGATTAAAATAGAAAAGGCATATAAAACTTTATTCAAAATAAAATAATAGTATTCATTTTATATGAATATTTATGACTGTCACTATAAGCTTCTTAATAATTTTGCAATTGTAGAGATAAGATATGTAGAAAATAATTATTTTATAACATAAAACATATTAGCTTTACAAAACACAATGTGTCACCTGAGTTGAAAGAAGGAAGGGAACATATATGATTGGGGAAAATTATGCGTGAAGTAACCTTGGAGGTGGGTTTTGAGTAGATAAAATTTCAAAAGGCATGGATACAGAGCATATACAGACTTTCCAGAAAGTAAGGGAAATCAATTAATTATGTTTCCCATTGGCTAATTTCAATAATTTATAGGATATTTCAATTCCCCTTTGCCCTCTAGCATGTTTCATCTAAATAAGTGCTCTTTAACACTGCTGCTTATTAAAAATCTTAACAAAGAAAAGAATTCCAATTTATTATGTATGTAGAAAAGACAGAAATGACAACAACCCCCAAGGCAACATTTCCAACGCTGGAGAAAAATATAGAGAACATATGCTTTCTCTCCAGGATGGGTGTGATCTAACATCTAAAACACTTTTAACAAGTTTTTGGATCACAGCTAGCTTCACGTACCCCTTGTTTTCCCATCTGAGCATGTGTAGGGAAGGGGCTAAAGAATTAGGTTACATCTCAGATTTTCATCATAGTGTGATAGATTTACAGCAATCACAAAGCCCCAGTTTAGGGTCAGGGCTCTGACTTTTTATTGTGCTCTAGGTACACGTCTCCTTTGGTCAGTAGGAAATGAATCAGTCTCTCACTGTTCCTCTCTTCCCATAGATCAGAAGTGTGGGGTTAACGTTAATTGGATTAATTTCCCTGAAGACTTAGAATCGACTACCCTACCTTACCTGAAGTGCCATATTTAACAGAGCTGATCATATTTCAAGATGGAATACTCTATTGAGAAATGCAGTCCATGTGAGAGTTGTAAGTTGCAAGTAAGAGAAATGGAGAACATGGGAAAGGCAATGGGAAGACATGAAAAGTTTTTGAGCCAGGGGAATTCCTAATTAAAACGTTGCAATAGGAAGATTAACCTGGCACCACAGTTTAATTATCCTTGTAACACAGAGGATCAGGAGGTGGTGGGTTGCACAGCAGTATGAATACCCCTGGGAAAGACTGCCAACAGGATTTAGGCTAGTCACAGTGGGGCAGGAAGAAGCACATGATGCTACGCACCTAGCTTTCCCTTTCCTTTCCCTTCCCCTTTTATGGAGTAAGACCTCCCCAGGCTATGCCCAGTATTTCACTTACTCCCTGAGCAGCAAATCTATCCACCTACTATTTTTGGTCTGCAACTCACTCCCCTGCAAACTCTTAACATTAGCTTGGTATGACCATTTGTGTTTTTCATTTCTGTACCAAGCTATAGACATGTAGATCACTATCATGACAAATGTACACTCTTTACCTTCAACTGGACCCACTTATAGAGAACTTATGTTCAGTGTTATGAGCTCCCTTTCTCAAACTCCACACTGACGGTTTCTTCTGCAACCATTCTCTCCTATACCATTTTTCCATTATCTCCCACATTACCATTAGCCAATGACCCTAGATTTACTTAATAGAGGAAGTAGCTACCATCTGTCAAAGCTTCATTCATTTTTGTATCCTGACTACAAATGAATTCTTACCACAGTGGTCTCTTTCTTCTTGTAACTAAAAAATAAAACAATTCTCTTTCCTCCTTCCAAGCAAATATTTCGAATAGGACTAGCCTTTGGCTAAGGATTTGAGTAAAGTTCTTTCATGTGGTCCAAAATGTACAGGCAAAACTTTTTATTAAGAGAAATATGGCTCAGTACAGGGAGTCATTCTTCTGCTGGGCACCCAAGTGGCCCAATTATAAAAGCTGCAGGGGCAGAGAGGAAATGAGAAAAGAACAAACACTTTGATGCAAAATACTGTACTCCATTGGAAAGCAGTTGCCTTGTAAAATATTAAAACATTGAGGAGTTAGAAAAAGCTGTCTCTTCTAATGAGTTTGGGCATTATTATCACTGAGAAACTTTATCCACAATGAAGAAAACTCTGTGGCATGTGTGTGTGCGTGTGTGTGTGTTTGTGTGTGTGTGTGATTCACAGGTCCCAACAATCAGAAAGGAAGAGAGAAATTTCTATAACATACGCCATGAGAAGGGACCATATCAAGCTCACACCCACACACAATTGATATTGAGATGCACAGTATCCACATACCACCTTCCCTTCACATCTGTTTTTCCATAAATGGTTCTTCCAGATTTGGAGTGTCAAAAGTAACAACTCCTATACTCACCGCATGAATGACGCACATGTAAGGTCACTTAGCTTGAATACCAGAGACACAGAGAAGGGTCTTTCTTGAGGATGATATTAATCCCTATGATGATGGGGAGAAGTTTGTTAAAAGGTGACTCTATGGATGGTGTCCCACCTGGTAATGATGAGTGAACAAGTATTTCTGAGAGGAGAGATGCAGATGGAGGATGTGTTAGGGACTAGGGTATGCCCACCAGAGGGCTCTCTGTAAAGACACTGAATTTCCAATGCATGGCTTCTGAAGACAGGAAAAGTCATGCTAATGATAGTTTTAAGAATCTGTTTTCCTTTTCCCATACTGTAATTTATCCAACAAATGTTGTATTTTCATACAGCCTTTTGTGGTGCAGATGTGAAGAATCAGTGCAAAGGCTGCTTGTCTCACATTTGCCTCTTGGTTCGCTTCTTGGCAGGGGCTCCATCCTATCAAGTTGGGAATTTCAGGCCACGAACAGCAGTAAGGTGAGCAATGTGACCTGATGGAGGTGGGAATACTTGGGGGGAGATGGAAGGGGCTACAGTAGTGAAAGTTTAGAAGAAATAATAAGTTCCAAATGTTTACTATTCCCTAGCAGAAGGTAAGCCAGGGGCATGGAGTGGGACTCTATGTCTGCACTCAAGCTTTTATTCCTCACATAAGGGACACGTTTCCCCACAGTCCAGGCCACGTCACCTCTTGCCAGTGTCCTCATTGTACTTTATTACTTCATAAAAACCACCATATATTGAGCGGCCAAGGCAGTGGATCACGAGGTCAGGAGTTCGAGACCAGCCTGGCGAACATGACAAAACCCTGTCTCTACTAAAAATACAAAAATTGGCCAGGCCCACGTGGTGGCAGGGGCCTGTAATCCCAGCTACCTGGGAGGCTGAGGTAGGAGAATCGCTTGACCCAGGAGGCAGAGGTTGCAGTGAGCCGAGATTGCGCCACTGCACTCCAGCCTGGGCAACAGAGCAAGACTGTGTCAAAAAAAAAAACAAAAAACAAACAACAACAACAACAAAAAAAAAACATATATTTTCCTTTCATTTCTTTTTATTTTACATGTGAACAATTGCACTTCTATTCAATTAAAAATTATTAAAAAACAATAAGTTTTAAAAAGGAGCTGTAGTTTCTTTTCTGCTCTCACAATTTCTATAAGAATTGCCTGTACCAGTCAGTCTCCAAAAAGAAAGGGAAAGAATGGGGAGAATCACAATCAACTGAGCAGGTATTTTTTTTCTTTTCAAATATACCCCCATATTGAGGGGCCATAAAAGATAGAGTGTGTGTGTGTGTGTGTGTGTGTGCAAATGTAGGTGTCTTTGCACATATAGGTGTGCATTCAAGTAAATTGTATCAGGTCAGGGATTTGATCCAGGTTGAAAAGATCAGTCATTTCTACCAGCACTTCAAATCCATTTATTCTCCAGCCCATCACAGTCAAATCTTTTTTTTTTTTTTGAGACGGAGTCTCGCTCCGTCGCCCAGGCTGGATGGAGTGCAGTGGCGCCATCTAGGCTCACTGCAAGCTCTGCCTCCTGGGTTCACACCATTCTCCTGCCTCAGCCTCCCAAGTAGCTGGAACTACAGGCGCCCGCCACCATGCCCGGCTAATTTTTTTGTATTTTTAGTAGAGACGGGGTTTCACCATATTAGCCAGGATGGTCTCGATCTCCTGACTTCGTGATCCACCCACCTCGGCTTCCCAAAGTGCTGGGATTACAGGCTTGAGCCACCACGCCCGGCCCAAACTTTTAATTTTTGTCTTAAATTACCCTTGCTAAGATCAACCACAACCTTTGATAACCACAATAACTGGTCTCTTCTCAATCTTTATTTTGGTTGAGGCTCCTATGTTGACCATCTCTCCCTTTGACTTCTCATGGATGGGGTACATGACAATCACAGCAGTGTCATTATTTGGATGACAGGATTTGAAGTCAGCCAGGCCTGGGTTGAAAGCTCGGCTCACTTCTTCACAATGTAATATTGAGCACATAGCATGAACTTTAGGACTCCATTGATAAATTTATTTGATAAAACCAATTTTATATGGGGTATCATAAAGGTTAAATAAGAAAACACACACATATCATCATCACACACACATACATATAAAGTAGGTTATACTTCGCTATAATTAGTAAGATTCCTAAATCTCAATGGCTCTACACAACCACGTTAATTTTCTATCTGTGCTACTTGTCTAATGCCCATCAGATGAGGAACTTTGCTCTGCATGGTCATTCAAAACCCATGGTGACGTTGTCCTTCCATCTTGTGGCTATACCCCTTGGGACACTTGGCTTTCTCAAAGGCAGGAGCAAGGAAAGACAGGGTAGAATAGCAAATGGTCTGTTAACTACTTCAGCCCTAAAGTGACACATATTACTTCTGAATGTGCAGCAGTAGTATTCAGTCACACTGTCCCACTTAATTGTTAGGAGGCTAAGAAATTCTATGAAGCAGGTAGAATATTTGGTGAACAGCACTGTTTTTGCCTCAGGGTCCCCTTGTGATCATCAATTTTGGCTCCTCTCCCTTTTAAGTAAAACACATTGGAGATCCTCAACTTCTCCCAGGGATGACAAGCCAAAGTCATATGTACATGCTGAAAGGAAAGTTTGGGATCTCTGGGGTAAAATCTAAAGTCTAAGTTTCACTTATTTTGCTGAGGATCACTAAATTTTTAAACAAAAGAAAAATAAAAGGAATATCTGCACTCTCCACCATATACAGATAATGGTGGAACAGGGGTAATACTCCAGTGTAAAAAGAAGAGATGCACAGAAGTCACTGAATTGTAGCAAATTCTGAAAGAATGCCGGGTAGATATTTTGAAGCTATCTTAAAGGAAATGGGGCATGTTCCTTGATTAGGCTCCAATTCTGGTTTCTGAAGGGACTTTCATTTTCCATTATTCTTCATGGCTCTTGCAGCATTCATAGGGTGAGTATTTTTTGGCCTCTGTCTCCTTGATAACAATTGAGATATTCACGGGGGATTTCCTTCCCTCTGGACTGTGCCTAATTACAATATGAGAAAGACTGGCAGCCCAAATATACTTTTAAACTTGAGTATTGCATTTTGGTGTATACTTTGTTCTATTTGTTCTATGTGTATAGATCCTCAAATACACACACACACACACACACACACACATATATAAATATACTATATAAACTAATAAATGATATATACATGATAATATCTGAGATATATATATATATATATATACACATGTAAATATAACAGTACAACTCTCTCAAAAACATAATAACAACTTCATTTTCTCACCAAGGTGGAGTAAAAGGAATTGAATTTACATCTTCACCTGAAACAATTAAAAACTCAGACATGGCCGGGTGCGGTGGCTCACGACTGTAATCCCAGCACTTTTGGAGGCTGAGACGGGTGGATCACGAGGTCAAGAGATCAATACCATCCTGGCCTACACGGTGAAACCCCATCTCTACTAAAAATACAAAAATTAGCTGGACGTGGTGGTGCACACCTGTAGTCCTAGCTACCCAGGAGGCTGAGGCAGAAGAATCCCTTGAATCCGGGAGGCGGAGGCTGCAGTGAGCCGAGATCACACCACTGCACTCCAGCCTGGCAACAGAGTGAGACTCTGTCCCAAAAAAAAGAAAAAACTCAGACACTTTTTAATACTTTGGCCATCAGGCAATGAAGATAGTAATTCCTGAGATAATGGAAATGAGTGATTTAAGCCCTACGCTTCCCCTTATTTACACATAGAGACAGGTTCTTGGCCTCAGCTCTGGAAGAGGAAACCCAGTCAGATATGACGCCCTCTCAGAGTGGAGCAGACAAAGATGGGAGTCCAGGGATTTCAGGGTAGCACAAGATTGAAGGGCAGGATTCTGTGGAGAGAATTCTGGATAGTCACAGAGGTAAACCTCACGTCTTCAGCTGTGTACTGAAACCTTGAGTTCAGGAAAAGATGCAATTGAAATGATTTAAGGAATAATCACAGTGCTCATAGAGGGCCAGAACTAGTTTCTGTTCCCACCAGCTGAGATAGAAAGCCTCATAATTAATGGGGCATAGGTGGAGTACTCAGCAAGTCAGGAAAATTTTCCAGATAACCACAGTTCAGGACAAATCTTAAGAATATTTACAGAAATACAAAAATATCCAATACTCAATAAGAAAAGTCTTTATCTGTCATCAAATTCAAAATGTTCAGGCAAGCAAAAATACAATTATAATGACGATAAAAATCAATAAATCAAAATTTAACACTGAAATAAAGTATTGTTAAAGGATTGTTATAAATGTATTTCTATGTTAAAGATGTTAGAGAAAAGATTGGGATATAAAAAAATAAAGTTTCTAAAGATGTGAAAACTGTAATGCCTAATATGAAAAATATACTGGATGAGATTAAAGACAAATTAGACATCACAGGGAAAAAAAATACTGAATTTAAAGTGAGAGTGATAAAAACTATTAAAATGAAACACAGCAAAAAATAAAAGAAAATGAACAGAGCATCTCAGAGCTGTGCAGAAATTTCAAGCACCATAATATATATGTAATTTGAATCTCAAAACAAAAAGATAGATGGGGATATAGAAAACTACTTGATAAGCCAAAGATCCAAAGTTTGGCAAATCCCAAAAACAAGAAATATTAAGAAAATTACATCAAGGCACTTCCAAATCAAGTTTCTTAAAAATGGAAATAAAGAAGAAAAAAAGCATCTATGAAAGAAAAATTAAGAGTATATTTAAAGCAAAAGATTTTCCATTGGAAACAATGTATGACAGAGGAGAGTGAAGCAAAATCTTTAAGTTGTTAAATGAAATTATTGTGAACCTAGAACTGTAGTATACACCAAATGGAACATCTTTCAAAGAAGGATGAAATAAAGATGTTTTCAGACATGCGTAAGCTAAAAGTTTTAATATTATCCTGCCTGCACTACAAGAAATGTTAACAGACATACAGCTAAACAAAATTAGGAAAACAATACATTAACAAAATTAGAAGTTCAACAAAGAGGTAAAAACAGTTAAAAAAAAAAAGGGACTGGAGAATACATAACTAATATAAAAAATTACTAGAGGGATTCACAAGCAGATTTAATCAAGAAGAGAGAATTGAGAGACTAGAAGGCAGATCATGAGAAATAATCCAGTCAACAAAAAAGAAAAAAGAAAAAGAAAAGGGTGAAGAAAATCTAAGAGTCTTATAGGATGCAATCAAGGTAACCAATATGTGCACTATAAAGTTCCCAAAAGGAGAACAGAGAGAGAAAAGAACAGATAGCCCATTTAAAAAAATAACAGCCCCAAACTTCCCAAATCTAGAGAGGACAACTGACATGTAATTTCATGAAGCATGAATGTCTCCAAATAGTTAAGTGTAAAGATATCTGCATAGGGGCATAGTATAGTCAAATTGTCAAAAGTCAAAAACAAAGAGGAAAGTTGGAAAGTGGAAAAAAATAAAAGCAACTCCTCACATGAGCCCTGCATAAGACTGTCAGTGGATTTCTCAGAAGAAACCCTGCAGGCCAAGAAAGACTGGGATGAACACTCTTCCCCAGACAAACAATAATTAAAGAAGTTCATCACCACTAGACCTATGTTAAAGGAAAAGCTAAAGGGAGTTTTTCAACTTGAAATAAAAGGACACTAATTAGCAACATGAAAACCTATGAAATGATAAAACTCACTGGCAAAAGCTAAGTATTATATATGACTAAATACAGAATACTTTGTTTATTAATTTATTTTATTTTATCTTTGTAGACACAGGGTCTCACTCTGTTGCCCAGGCTAGAGTGTAGTGATGTGACCATAGCTCACTGCAGCCTTGAACGTCTGGGCTCAAGCAACCCTGCTGCTTCAGCCTCCTCAGTAGCTGGAACTATAGGCTGCAACATCATCATCATGTTCGGCTATTTTTTTATTTTCACTTTTGTAGGATAGAGTCTCTGTATGTTGCCCAAGCTGGTCTCCAACTTCTGGTCTCAAGCAATCTTTCCACCTTGGCCTCTCAAAGTGCTGGGATTGCTGGTGTGAGACACAGTGTTCAATCTCAAAACCAGAATAGTTTAATATTGTAGTAATGGTGCATAAAATATTTTCAATTCTAGTATAAAATTTAAAAGACAAACATTTTAAAAACTAAAATGGTTTATAAATGGACACACAATGTAAAAGGTAACAACAATAACAAAGTATAGAGGGAGAAATAAAAGTGTAGAGATTTTGTATATGATTAAAGTTGCTATCAGCTTAAAATAGACTATTATAACTAGATGATATTTTATGTCAGCTCTCTGGTTAATACAAATAAAAAACCTGTAATAGAGAGACAGCATATGAGGAAAGAGAAATCAAAGTATATCCCTCCAAAAATAATCACATAATCACAAAACAAGACAGCAAGAGAGGAATAAAGCCAATGAAGGAACTACAAGAAAGTCAGAAAATAATTAACAAAATGAAATTTACTTTAAATGTTAATGAATTAAATTTCCTAATTAAAATACATAGAGAGTAGCTGAGTGGATTTTTAAAAACCAACTATATGCTGCCTACAAGACTCACTTTAATTTTAAGAACACATCTACTGAAAGCAAAGGGATGAAAAACTGTTCCATGCAAATGGTAACGAAGAGAGAGCCAAAGTGGCTATTCTTATATCAGACAAAATAGATCAGTCAAAAACTGTCATAAAAGGCAAAAATGTTACTATATATTGATAAAAATGTCAAACAAAAGGATATAGCAGTTATAAATATATATGTAGCCAATATTGTAGCACCTAAACATGTAAAGCAAATATTAACAGATCTGAAGGGAGAAATAGAGAGCAATATAATAACATTAGGAAACTTTAAAATTCTAGTTTCAATAATAGATAAATCATCGAGACAGAAAATCCTAAGAAAACAGTGGACTTGAACAATGCTACAGAACAAATGGACTGAACATTTCATCCAACAGCAGTAGACTACAAATTCTTCAGAAGCACACACAGAACATTCTCCAGCATAGATCATGTTAGGCTACAAAACAAGTCTTAAAAAAATAGGAAACTTGGATTTACAGCAAATATATTTTCTGACCCATGGTATAAAGCTAGAAATCAATAGATAACTGACTGTATAAGGCAAAAATAACAACAATGTATTACAAGATTTATAACACACATAGAAATAAAATGCTTAACAAGAGTAGTACAAAGGTGAGCAAATTAGAGTTGGATGTCTTAATACATTTGCTGTAATATTCTCATATGTAAAATAGTAAAAGCACTTAAATGTTAACTGTGATAAATTTAAGTTGTATACTAAAGCCCTACAGCCACCATGGTAGGGTGTGGGTGTGGAGTTAACAAAAAATTGTAGCTAACTGACCAACAAATAAGCTAAGAAAATCATTTTTAAAAATTAGCTAATCCAAAATATAGAAGAAAAAAGGGAAAACTGAACAAGAACAGGTTATATAGATAAAAAACATCAAAATTCCAGATTCAAATCTAACCATATCAATAATCATATTAAACAAAAATTGTCTGAATACCTCAATTAAATGGCAGTCATTGTCAAATTGGCTAAAACAGCAAGACCCAATAAAATGTTGCCTATAGAAAACCAACTTAAATGTAAAGACACAAATAGAATGAAAGTAAAAAGAATTTAAAAAGAGAACTATAATGTTGACATTAATTTAAAAAAATAATCTGGAGTAACTTCATTAATATGGGACAAAGTAGATTTCAGAGTAAAGAATATTGCCAGAAATAAAGGGGCCATATCAAAATGATAAAGGGATTAATTCATTAAGATGATATAATAATTCTAAATCATTCTACACCTAATGAAAAAGCCATAAATCACTTGAAACAAACAGTGACAGAACTGAAAAAATAACTAAAATCCACAATTATAACATGATATCTTGACACCATCCCCTTAATAATTGATTGAGTATACAGAAAATCAATAAGAAAATAAATGACTGGAACCATACTATGACCTAACTGATGTTTACAAAATACCCCACCCAGCAGCAGTAGAAATGATTACTTTTCAGGTATGTACAAGACATTTACCTAGACAAATCTTATTCTGAATAATAAAACAAGTCTCAAAAGTTTAAAAAGACTGAATTTATAAAAGAATACTTTCTGACCACAGTGGAACTATATAAGAAAAATATCTGGAATGTCCCTAAATATTCAGAAAATGAATCGTAAATGTCTAAATAACCTGTGAGCCAAAAAAAAGATATAAATAAGGAAATTATAAATTACGTAAATCAGTACAAAATTGTAAACACAATATACCAAACCTTGTTGTATGCAACGAACAGTACTTAGAATATTTATATCACAAAATGCCTATACAGTAAAGAAGAAAGAGTTCAAATTAATAGCCTAATCTTCTCCCATAAGAAACAAACAAGTAAACAAACAAAAATAAATCATTAAAAACAACAAAGCAGAAAAAAGGAAATAATAATGAGCACAGCAAAAATTATGAAAAATCAATGAAACAAAAATTGGTTAAGTGGTATACGTTAAGGAAACTAAAAAATCTCTAGACATGCTAATGCATCAAAAAAAAAAGAATAGGCACAATTTTCAATTTACTGAGTGAAAACGTGACATTACTATAGATCCTACAGATTTCAAAGGCTGGAGAAATATACTGAACAGATTTATGCTATTAAGTTTCTTCAATTTAGATGGTATGAACAAAGTCCTTGAAAGATGTCAACTACCAATGCATGTATATATAAAGTATATATGTATATATAATACACATACATGTATTTATACATCTATGCATATATGATCATACATATTCATGTGTGTGTGTAAATATAACCTGAATAGCTTCATATCTATTGAAAAATTGAATATGTAATTTATAATTTTCTGGTGGTAACAATATTCTGGGACCACCAGAATATTATCTTCAAGGTAAATTTAACCAACCTTGAAGGATTAACACCAGTTATATTCAAACTATTCCATAGCATTTAAGACAAAGGAATATTTCTCAGCACATTCAATAATATTTAAATAATTATCATATTAGATGGGTACAGTGGATCATGTCTGTAATTCCAGCACTTTGGGAGGACGAGGCAGGCAGATTACTTGAGGCCAGAAGTTTGAGACCAGCCTGGCAACATGATGAAACCCAGCCTCTATACAAAAAATTAGCCAAGCATGGTGGCGCATGGCTGTACTCCCAGCTACTCAGGAAGCTGAGGTGAGAGAATCGCCAGAACCCAGGAGGCAGAGGTTGCAATGAGCGGTGATCATACCACTGCACTCCAGCCTGGGGGACACAGTGAGACCCTGTCTCAAAAAAAAAAAAAAAAAAATCTTCATTATCATATTGAAATCAATTGAGAACATTACAAAAAAAAAGTACAGATCAATACCCCTCACAAACACACACACACACACACACACACACACACACACACGTCTTAACAAAATTTTGGGAAATTGAAAAAAATATATGAATAAGGCGATTTAAACATCTAAGTAGTGTTTATCCCAGGAATTCATGGTTTGTTTAACATTAGAAAATAAATAATGTATCATATGAGCAGAATAAAAAGAAAAAATAGCCAGATCATATCAATATATGCAGAAAAGAAATTGACAATATCTAACATCTATTTCTAATATTTAAAACAAACAAACAACATCTCTTAGTAAACTAAGATCATGTAGAATTTCCTTAAATTGGTACAGGACTATAATGAAAAACTCTTTAGCTAACATCATACTTAATTTTAAAAAGTCCCTAAAATAACGAATAAAGTAAGGATGTCCATGCTCACCATTTCTATTAAACAATGTTCTGGAAGCTTCAGCTACTGCAACAAGGCAATATAAATAAATATCCAGAAAGGAACTATATTTTATTTTTATTCACAGACAACAAAATTGTTTCTATAGAAAACGCTAGAGAATTCACCAGTAACACTACTACAACTAAAAAGAGTGAGTTTCACAAGTTTGCAAAATAGAAACAACAGTAACATACAAGAATAAATTGTATTTCTATATAGTGACAATGAACAATTGGAATCTGAAACTTAGATAACATTTCCAATAGCATGAAAATATGAAATACTTATGGATAATTCTGATGCACAGGACCTTTATATTGAAAACTAGACAATATTTCCAAGAGAAACTATAGCATATATAAATAAATGAAAAATGTAACACATTCATTGACTGAATAGCTCAATAATGTTAAGATGTTATTTCTCCATAAATTCATCTTCCTATAGAGTACTTTGTAGAAATTGAGAAAGTGATCTTAAAATTTATATGGAAATTCAAAAAGCAAAGAGTCAAAATAATTTTGAAAAAGATGAACTGTTTGAGGACTGAAACTAACTAGAGATTTGTAAAGCTACAGGAATTTTGAAAAAAAGTGGTATTGGCATAAATATAGAGAAATATACCAATAGGACAGAATAGGGAATGAAGAAAGAGATATGTACTTATAATTTCCCTTGATTTTTGTCAACGTTACAATAGTAATTCATGCTACTTTTAGGTATTTACCTAAAGTAAGTAAAAGCATATTCCCTTATATAGACTGGTACATGAATGTTCACAGTAGCTTTATTTGTAATCCTCAAGTCCTAGTAACAGCCTCAACAACAGGCTAATACAGTTTCTGTAACACAGTAGTTGGTGTGTTGGGCCATCCCTCATCCCCCTTCAGTACCAGGACACTCATTTCAGTTCCCTAAGCTGTGGCCTGCTGAAGGCTCACAGCTGAATCCACACCCAGTAACTTCCCTAGGATTTGGCTAAAGGTAGTTGCCTAGTCCTGGCATCAGCCTACATTTAAAATCTGGCTGATAAAAGAGGGCAAACGGTGAGCACCTTCGCCTCAACTTTGGACAATCCTGACAGCCCCCTAAAGTCCAGGACTTCCCACAAAAGCAGCTGAAGCCTAGGTTGTGAATGCCTCTTATTCTCCATCTGCCCAATCCTTTCTTCCATCCTTCATATTTTGTTTCTAAGAGGATTTTCCCAAATAAATCTCCCACATGCAAATATATCTCAGGCTCTGTTGAAAACATGGCTCTCAGCCACCATGCATCAAGAATTAATGGTGCGCACTTCACTGCCTCAGCTCAAGATGATGTGTAATCATTTCTGCGCAAAGCCCACAGGACTAGTCTCCCAGCTCTGACTAACAGCAAGTAAGATAGGGAATGTGAGAAATAAATGAAACGTTCAGTAACCCTCTGTTTACCCTTCACTTCCTTGTGTCTAGGGATAACGTCTAATTCCCTGTTGTATCCCTAGTACTTAGTGAAATGTCTGCCATTCGCCAGTATTCAGTATATGTTCCCATTGACTAACAAATGAAGAATTTTAAGAACTGTTTACCTATTGAATTTAGTACAAAAAAGTTTCCAAAATGATAGTGAAGTTACATTACACGTTTATGTAATTGAAAAAATGGTGTGAAAAAAAGAATTTATTTTTAAAGAAAATATGAGGAATCTTCATTTTAAATCTGTAGAATTGAGACACTGGAAGGCTAACTGGATAGAAATAGTGCAGTATATGTTAGGAGAGAGATCAGGAATTGAGGTTAAATTACCAAAAGAGGTGATAATTGCAATGATGATGGGTGTATACAACTGCCAAAGTTACAGAACTTACAAAAGCTGCCAGTTTAAATATATTGTTAAGTGAAGCAGATGCTTGTTCTCACTATTGGTACTAAAATGTGTTAACTATTCAAAAATAAAATGTAATTCATCTCTATTAAAAATGATGAAGTACCCTTGAGGATAGCTTCATCAGATACATAATATTTATGAAGAAAATGATTTATCTTTAACATTCCCTGATTACCATCACTTGACTGGGCTCACTCCCTCACTAGGCATGTAAAGTACTCATTCTTTATACCAAAGCTAATTTGTGCTTGTTTTCATATTGCTTGGTAAAATGTTTTAAAACCATGCCTGTATGTATGCTATCTACCCGCAGATAATTTGGAGTTTCTAAGATGCTATTTTCTATTTTTCTTACTTTCCTTCAATTTAGTTTTGTTTAAAATTTATACTGGGCTTACTTAATGCCAGGCACTGTTCTAAGCACTTGGCAAATGTTTTCTCACTTAATTTTTATAATAATCTTAAGAGATGTGTACTATTATTTTCTCTTCCTGATTAAAAGATGAGGAAACTGAGGCATGGAGTGATTAATTTGCCCAAGACCACAGATCAAGTGATGAAGCTGAATTCAGGCACAAGCAGTCTCACCCCAAGCTCATGTCCATAAATACCATTCCTTGTATCCTTTCTATGTTTGGGCGGTCAACTACATGACCAGCCCTGATGAATCTAAAGGAGCCTAAGGATGCCAAGAAGAGCTAGTCATACTCTACCCTTGAGGATCCACAGGCTTACACCATCCCACAATTCACTGCAGTGTTCTCTACCCAAAAGAGAACCAAAGTAGCCTAAAACTGTCCTTTAGCTCCTTGTAACAAACCCATTAATCTCACAGAAAGAGTATTGCATTGGTATATACATAATGAGCAACATTAGCTAATACCCTGCTTTCTCATCAAATTATATCATAACAATGTCTACTTCTTTGAATTTTATTTTTGAAATAATTTTAGATTGACAAAAACATTGAAAAAATACACTGGGGGTTCCCATATACCCCTTCACCCAGTGTCCCATAATTATAAAATCTTGTATCCCATAGTACAAATAGCAACATATATAAATGAATGTTGATTGGTATGATATGATTAACTAAACTATGGACTTTATTAATATTTCATAAATTTTTCCACTCATAGATTTACTGCTGTTGTTCTAGGTTCCAATCCAAGATCTGGAATTGCCCTTCTTTGCTAGTCTCTTTAATCTCTTCCAATCTGTAAAAAAATCCAGTCTTTAGTTTTCTTTTATGAACTCAACACTTTTGAAGAGTACTGGCCAGTTAATTTGACATACATCTTTAATTAGGGTTTGTTTGATGTTTTATTATGAAGGTTGAATATTCATTATCAACAAGAGTACCACAGAAGCAATGTACCTGTCTCAGTGCATCATATTAGACTGTAGATGTCAATATGTCTTATTACTGGAGAACTGTGATAATCAAATGAAGGTGACTTTGCCTTAGTTTCTTGATTGAAAATATATTACTTTTTCATTTTTAATGAGTGATTTGAGACTATGCAAGTATCCTGTTTCTCTTCAAATTTTTGCTTACTAATTTGCATCCCTTGGAGGCTCCTACCCAAAACAATTACTACCCCAGGGTTCTAGTGGTGATTTTCTTTCTTTCTCTTCCTTCTTCATTTATTTGTTGAAATTCTTCATAAGAAAGAGCTGTGTATTATTCACCAGTTATTTATTCATTTGATTTATTTATTTCAGTACAGAATTTTAGATATTTATTTTCTTTGGAGGTTATAGTCCATTATTACTACTACTACAGTTTTGTGGTCCAAAATGTTCCAATTTTTAAAACTGACAACTCTGTTGGTTTTTTTCCTTGACCTTTTGACAAGCCACCCATCTTTTTTTGGAGCATATCCTTACTTTCTGGTACCACAAGATGCTCCAGGCCCATCTGCTATTTTTTTCTGCCCCACTTCTGGAATATACCACTTCTTCAAGATTGCTTTTATTGGTATTTGAGGCTTAGAAACAGAGATCTTGGAATATGCTATACTGAATGCTGCAGAGTGTCATTATTTCTAGGCTCTCTTAGCTGATAAAGTTTAGGAAATAGATGTCTGTATAGTAATTCGGGCTTACATATACACCCATATGTATTTCCTATCTGCCTATTTATCTACCCATCTATCTTCTATTTTCCATCCATCATCTATCTATCTATCTAATCTATGAATCTACTTATTAAAAATAAATCAAGATAATTCTGATACCTCCAATTCAAATCAAACATCAAGGGTTAATTCTAGCCTTTTCAAGGATGTTGGAGCTTCCTCCAACAGCAAGAATTTTGGCTGTAATTGCTACAATATATTTATTTAGTTGTTCTACCCTAGGGCCTGCTAGTTTTAGAATTGCTAACTCATACACCTGTGAACTATTTTCTAACTTGAATAGAAAATTTATGTATTGTACATTTTGACTTTAGTCTTAAATCACCCAATCAAAATCCTATTTTCCAGTGTTAAGTACGTTCTTTTATTTCCCTATATACCTCTTCATTGTATTATTCTCATTAATACAGTTAGTTCATTTGGTTTGGTTTGTGTTCCATTTTCTGAATATAGTAAAATCACCTTTGGGATACATAATTCTACTGGTTTCAACAAGTGCACAGAGTGGTGTATCTACTATCACAGTCATGATATAGAAGAGCTGGATCAACCCAGTAAATTCTCTTGTGCTGTCCCTTTATACTCAATTATACCCCCCATTCACTCCAATTTGTGAATATCACTGATGCTTCTTATCGTTTTCCATCCTATAGTTTTGCCTTTTCCAAAATGTCATATAAATTGAATCATACAGAATATAGACCTTGTTTATATCTTCTTTCACTTAGAAATATGCATTTATTACTCATGATATTTTACATAAATCAATACTTTGTTCTCCTTTATTGCTCAGTAGGATTCCATCGCATGCATGCACGCATAGTTTGTCTATCCATTCACTGGGTGAAGGCTATCATGATTGTTTCCAATTTGTGGTAAACATAAACGAAGCTGTTATAAGCATTCAGAACTCTCAAAGTGCACAGCTAAGAGACAGCCTGATAAATGAATAATTTTGTTGCAAGAATTTGCTGAACTAAAAACTCAATATTGGCAAAGGAGGAAACAATATCAGAGAGGTTCATTGATACCTAAAGCTACAGTTAGAAAGAGAGAACTGGGATTGGAATTGAC
Source organism: Homo sapiens (assembly GCF_000001405.40). NCBI lineage: Eukaryota > Metazoa > Chordata > Mammalia > Primates > Hominidae > Homo > Homo sapiens. The sequence continues at coordinate 9,781,692 of NC_000010.11, forward strand.
AGTGTCTTTGAGACACTGGCTATGCAGTAGCTATACAGGTCATGTGAGTGGCTATACAAGCCAACCTAGGCTCAAAATGTGCAGTGATAGGGACTATTGCCTGTGATCACAAATTTTCGCATCTTTTATTTTCTTCAGTTCCAGCAGGTTCCCAGCTGCATTCCTGTTGCTAAGTGAGTCACTCTGAATATCTGAGGTTCAGTGCATTAACGTGGAGCACAGTGTTTGTTTTGAAAGTCATTCATGAAATAATAACCAATGTTCACCAGCACAATAAGTTCTATGAGCATCTAAAAAGCAGAAGTCTGCTTAATTAATGTGTGTTTCCCCAGGTATATATGAATTGAGAAAATTGTATTGTATCTGAGTCAATAAACACATTAAGCAGCAGCAATTATTGGAATGAGAACATTAAGAACAATGCAGTCTTAGATCCAAAGTTAGATGAGCCCATCAGAGTTCCAACTATTCACAAATGAGAAAAATTGAAAAAGCTCATGCTGCTATGTATATGTCACAAATAATTTGCAAATGCATTATTTTAGAAATCTTACCTGACTATGGTTTTCCTGAAAACCCTATTTCACAAACTTGTGTTAGAATAGGACTTGAGATGCATTTAGAAGAAGTATAGTTTCTTTGGCTTTGTTTGAGGTAGAATAGAAAGAAACACCAGGATATGACATTTAGAAATGGCCTATCTTCAGATGTAAAGAACTATTTGGGTTAATTTTTTAATTGATAATTTGATGAGATTTAGGGATATTGGCAGTGAAGGGATAATTGCAAGACATTAAAATTGTGGAGAAACAAGCTTCTGAAATACTTAAAACTGAAATGAATAGTCCTGCAATAATTTCCCCCTCTGATACAGAGTAAAGAGATAATCAGTAGTCTGTGTTTTTCTTTCTCCTCACCTGCCTCTCAAAATATCACAGGTTTTCTCATCACAATTGTATTTCACAGGAATGGTGTGAAGATAAGTGAGTTACCATTTGTAAAACACTTTCATGTCAGAGGTGCTACACTTAAAGATAGTGAGAAAGTAGAAAGAAAATAGGTGACAACTTGTTGAAAAATCTGTCATTGTCCATTTATGGATAACTTCAGGGTGGCTCATGGTAAAATCTTCACCCAAAGGTATGTGAATCTATTTGCACAAAGTAGCATGCTGAGTATTGTACAAAGCACACTAAACATCTTTTAAGTCACTTTGAAAATGGCAACAGTCTCAGGGAGGAACATACAGAAGGCTATGCTGCTATGTTGATACATCTAAGACAACTGAGAGAAAAAAATATGCAGGGTAAAATAAACTTCCCATTACAAAAGCAACAAAGAAAAACACAAGTTAAACTTTCCTACATGTACTGCAAATTTAATGGGTCTAATGCAGTTTTTGCTTGTTCTCTAGGGTTCATATCTTCAGTAATTACTGCACTCAACCATTCAGTCTTCCAAGTTAGAATGAATGACTAAGCCATGATTCGTTTTTCTTGCTTTGATCTATCAGCCACTAAATCCTGACATGTTCCCCTCTAAGTCTTCATAAGAGATACTGCTATACTCTTTTACAATTTCTAACAACTCTATAACTATTTTCTAACTGGCATCTTTGCCTTTAACTTATTTAATCCTCTGTATTAGTCCAGGTTCTCCAGAGAAAGAGAACTAATAGAATACAAATGCACATAAAAGGTATAATGTGAGGAGCTGGCTTGCATGGTCATGGAGGCTGAAAAGTCTGCTATCAGGAGGACCAGGAAAGCCAGAAGTGTCATTCAGTCTGAGTGTGAGAGCCTGAGAACCAGGGGAGCCCATGATGTAAATCCCAGCTGAAGAACCAGAGAAGAAAAGATAAGATGTCCTATGGGTGTCAATGTGTGTGTGGCAGGTCTCTTGAAGACAGCATACTATTGGGCCTTAATTTTTTATCCAGAGTGCTGCTCTGTGCCTTTTAAATGGGGTCATTTAGTTCATTTACATTAAAGGTTAGTATTGATATGTGTGGATTTGTTCTGGGTGACAAAGTAATCTGTACAGCAAATCCCCATGGACTTGAGTTTACCTATAAAACAAACCTGCACATGTACCCTTCAACCTAAAATAAAAGTTAAAATAAAAAGATGAGATGTCCCAGCTCAAGCAGTGATGCAGGAAAAAAAACACACATTTTCCTTTATGCCACCTTTTGTTTTCTTTAGATTTTTAACAGATGAGATGATGCCTGACCACGCAGGGGAGGGCCGTCTATCTCATGGAGTTTACCAACATAAATGTTATTCTTGTCCAGAGACACTCTCACAGATGCACCAACAGGCAAGGTTTAATCTGGGTTCCCCGTGTCCCACTCACCATTGACACACCATTAACTATCACACTCACCAACTCTACAACTCAGTCTAATAACTGTTACCAGAATTGTACTGGCCCACACATGTGTGCACTTGCACACTGTTAAAAGAAAAACTTTAGCCAAACTAAATTTAAAAGAGGGTAATTGAGAAAAGAATGATTCATGAATCAGACAGCCTCCAGAACCAGAGTAGGCTCAGAGACTCCAGTGCAGCCACATGGTGGAAGAAAATTTATGGACAGAAAAAGGAAAGTGATATACAGAAAACAGAAGTGAGGTACAGCCAATCTGGCTGTTTGCCTTATTTGAACATGGTTTGAAAAGTTGCGAACTTTTCATTGGCAAAAACTCAGTGATTGGCACAAGAATAGGCTACAGTCTGTTTACAAGTCCATTTAGGTTATAGTCACAATGTACACAGAAACCTTTACACCAAACTTAATATATGTGAGGAGGCAGCTTTAGGCTAAAATTGATTTAACACACACCATTCCTGATGCCCACAAAATGACTCTGCTGATGCTTTTTCCCAATATAATCGAATTTGGGAACACTAGTCTTGCAGTCTAACATGTTTGATCTTCCTCACTTGTCTCTGAAACTTGATCTCTTACCTCTCTCCTACTGTGAGCTAAGTTCTATCGATAATGAGGAATTTGCAGTTCCCAAATACGTCATGCTTTACTGACATTATGATCTTTGAGCTGCCTTTTCTTCTGTCTGTAATACTATGTTCCTATTTCCTCAAATGGAAAAAAATCCTCATCTTCGTTGGGTTAGGACATTATCTTTTTTGCAAAGTTTCTCAGGACTCAGATTTCCCTCTTTTTTTCTGCATCTTTCTTTGCTATTTTACTTATTGCACTGTATTGCAGTTACCCATTTATCTATGTGTGTAAGTATGTGCTTATGTTTTTCTTTTCCCACCTTGCCCGCTGTGAACTCTTTAAAGGAATGGAAGTGTATCTCATTTCTGTACCCCTGGAGCCCATCACAGGTCCTGGCACATAATTTATGTTCAATAAATATTTAAGAAAGGATGAAAGAGAAGGAAGAAGTACAAGGAAAGGAGTGGGGAAAATCAAGGAAGGGAGGTAAGGAAGGCAGGGGAAGTATTTCCTTTATAACTATGACACTTGAAACTCAAATATATTTTCCCTAGGAAACACTATTATGGTAGCCCCAAATGGGAATTAGATCACAACAAAATTTACTTTACCAATTTGTTTAGTGCATACCTGATGTGTAATTTGCATGAAGAAATGTAACACATGAAAGCAGCCCTTCCTTATAAAAAGGAAACTGTATGATGACATGCAAGGCGCAAGATCTGGATTCATCATTGATTGGAAATTTGAGATTGGTAAGATGCTGTAAACAGCCTTGAGATAAATTATTAGGATAGTACACACAAGACGTTTCATTTTCACTAGAAACCATATTTCCTATTTATTGTAACATTTAATCATGTATTTTGTTGTTACATTTGGAAATAAGTTTTGCCTAACATGATAGATTGATGAACCAAATCACGGAGCTATCCTCTAAGGCTTTGTCGGTTTATAAGACAGAATACACTTCTCGAATCTGAAGCATATAAAACATAAATAAATATGTGCATTTTGAAACGCATTTTGTTTCCCTTATCATGAGTGATACTGGTTCCCTAATAGAGGATTCTATTTAAAATACACAGAATATGGAATTAAAGGACCTTAATGTTGATAATTATAACCAGTATTTGAACACGATTTTCAGTAACTATGTCCTTTTGGGGTCTTGGGATATCTTTAGGCAACAATCTAGCATACAAAGTATATGATTTTTAAATTAATATTATTGTATTTCTCACAATAAAAGATAGTGCTTGAAATTCTTCTAGCCGGTTCCAAAAGTAATTCTGGACTAAGATTATATAGAAAAAAGAGAAAGTCCTTCTCCCATGTCACAGTTTATAGAATTCTGGGTGAAGATTATATAGAAGAAAGAGAAAAAGTCCTTCTCCCATGTCACAGGTTATAGTACTTCAGTGTCAACTCCTGCCATCACTTTTACTTTCAAGAATTTAAGAGCCTAGCTAGCTGACTAAAGCAATCTTTACATTATTTAGTGAAATTTGCTCACATGATTAAGGAGGCTGAGAAGTCCCACAATCAGCTGCCTGCAAGCTGAAAAGACAGGAAACCTGGCGATATCAATTCAGTCTGAATCCAAGGGCCTGAAAAGCAGAGAAGCCAATGGTGTGAGTCTCAGTCCAAAGACAAGAAATGACTAATTCCAGCTCAAGCAGTCAGACAGGAAGCAAAAAGGGTGAGTTCCTCCTTCTTCCACTTCTTGTTCTATTCAGGCCCTCAACTGATGGATAATGTTATTGGTGTTACTGAGTGCACCAATTCAAATGCCATTGTCATCCAGAAACACCCTCACAGGCATATCCTGAAATGATGTTTAGTCAAATGTCTGGGCAGTCCATGATCTAGTCACATTGACACATAAAATTAACCATCACAGCTATGAAGCCTCCATATAAAGTAACTTTAGTGTCTTTCCCATGTCCATTACAAAAAACAGTAAAAAGTATAAAAATTATAGGTAAAATTTGCACACCTCTTTCAGGAATACTGAAAGGAACATACTTATAAAAGTGAATAGCAAGTATTATGGTGAATCACTCAGGAATTGAGGTGACTCACAGAGGAGACTCCTCGATACTCCTTTGTCCAGTTATGATGATAAATTGACTATAGCAGCAGCCATGGCCAGAGAAAGCTTTGGTGATGATAGTGGCTCATTCCACTAGGCAAGCCACATAGACCAACAGAGCGGGCAGCTGAGGGTGACGAGAATTTAAAATAAGCAGGAGAGTAAGGGAGGAGATAAGTGTTGGCTTGTAAGCTGCAAGCAATAAGAACTACAGTTTATCCAACTAACATTCCTCTTTTTAAGTTGCCCAGGAAGAGAGGCCAGACATAATCTTGGGGGAGCTGTTCTCAGATGGGGTGAATATCCCAAACAAGTAGAATCCAATGTGCAGGAGGTAAACTGCAGGAGGTGCTTTGGTGGCCTCCAGGAGACCAGCCATCTTTAGAACTGAGACACTCCTGTCACCTCTCAGCCTGACTCCTCCTTAGGAGCTGTCCTCAACTGAAGGATGCTTTCTCACACAGGTTCCTCACCTTCTCTGAAAGCAACCCCCATTTAGTGAGTGGTTAATCAATGTGGTGATCCAAAGTCCAGCCCCCTAACCTCAATTTGGGAAATATTTGAAGGCTTAGTTCAGCTCATGTGTCAGTGGGAGAACGGTTTGAGCCCTTGTTGAGACTCTGTGGAAATACAAGTTCTCCCTCTGCTTACCCTGTTTGCTTCACCTTCCAATAAGCCACCTGCACACACGTCTTTAACTTGGATTCCATTTCCTGGGGATGGGGAGTTTGACCTACACAGGGAAGTAGAACTGTTACTGACTGCCACGTGCACAATGATGAAGGAAGCATTCTGTATGTTCTCATCACTGACAAAACTAGGGAAGTAATATTGGCAAGAGCAACATTCACTACAAATTTTGGTGCTTTATAGTAAGGTCCAACCTCCTCATTTTGCCTAAGAGAAAACAGAAACCCAGAAGAGGAAAACACTTTTTAAGCTCACCAACTAAATCAGAGAAAAAAACTAGAACCAAAGAACCAGTTTATTTGACATTGGAAAAATTATCTCTGTACTTTTTCCCTTGAGTAGCAGTTCTTAAATCCAACTCTGCATCAGAATCATAGACCAGACTTTTTGTTTAGTTTTGTTTTTATGGTTTTGTTTTAATAAAGATTCCCAGACCCACCCCAAACTTTCTAAATCAGAATCTTTCGTGGGAACTTCCATTAAAATCTATATTTTTAAAAGCTGCACAAACAATTCTGATGATCAGATCACTTTGGAAAATGTGACTTAGGGAGTCTATACAAAGGAGTAGTACTAGTCTGCTCAGGCTGCCATAAAAGAGTATCATAAATGGGGTGGCTGAAACAACAGAAATTCAGTGCCTCACAGTTCTGAAGGCTGAAGTCCTAGATCAAGGTGTTAGCATGGTTGGTTGTCCTTGAGGGCTGTGAGGAAGGATCGGTTCCATGCCTTTTCCCTGGCCTCTGGTGGTCTGCATGTATATCTGGGTCCAAATTTCCCCTTTTTATAAGGATAGTGATTATATTTTATTAGAGGCTCCCTCTAGTCCATGAAGTATACTTTCATCTTAACTAATTACATCTGCAACCACCCTGTTTCCAAATGAGATTACATTCTAAGGTATTGTAGGTTAGGATTCAACATATGAATTTTGGGGACACAATTCAACCTATTTCAGGAGCCTATAATGTATAATTATTGTCCAATTTGATCTTTAAAAAAAAAAAGAAAGAAACGGGAAAAAACCTAAGTAGGTAAGCTGAGGAAGAGGGAACTGTGGAGAAAAGGATTTTCTTGACTGCACTTGGCCTCTGCTTTGAAGCTGTAGCATATCAGTATTAGGATATGGGTAGGAAGGCTGTGCTCTGTCTTACATTTGCTGGTTTTAGTTCTGCCTTCTCACAACTTAGCAGGTGCACTTCACTCCTCTTCATTATTGTGTCCCTCTCCATTGTTATGGTCAATGCCATCAAATAGGTCCTCATTGTTAAATTAGGCTCCCAAAGGCAAAGATCTTTTTACTTGGATCACTTATATTATGCTAACAACTTTAACATTCTTTAATTTTGCAATGTAATTATTATTTTTATTATTATTTTGCTTTCCATTTGAGCTTTCCACAACTAACATAAGCTAGCATTTACTGATGGTCCAGTATTTAAAAGGTGCTGCACCAAATAGTACAAAAATATGATATAATATTTAATCTTTATCTAATTGCAATGATTTTACTAACTAAAGCAAAGGCTTAGGACCAATAAATAAGTGTTCAGTCACAGAATTGATATAAGTGATTATTAAGGTCACACACCAGTACTTTAAATAGCTCTTGGATTTTTTTTTTCTCTCCTAGTTTTCTAGACTGTTGTTTTGAATGTCACATCAGATAAGATAAATTTTCATTGCCTCCTGGATATGGTCTAATAAAAGGGTATGGTATCATTTTTGGAACATAATCAATACACTGACATTTTCCAAGAGTGATGTTTCATAGAGATTTAAGACCTAAATAAACAAACAAAACCTAACATGTGGTAGCACCTCTATAATTTAAGAATACTTTTTCTAAAGTCTCCCCGAAGAGTTAATTTTAATTAGTGGCATACTAGAAAGTTAAGGACTATTGAAAACCTTTCTAAGACTTGTGTGAAAGAAAGACTGTGGCTTATTTTCTCAGTCCTTGGAGACAAATAGCCAAATTTGTTTTAAAAAAGGTTAAACTAAAGGAGAATTTAAAAAACAAGTTTTGTTTGTTCTATTAATAGTAAGTTCCTTATGGAAATTTTGCATTCTTCAAACAGACAGAAGTCAGATTGACAAACATCACTGTAGACTTCCTAAAAAATACATTTTCAACATTTTATTTTAACATTGCAATAAATCTTTCCCATCCTGCTGATGAAAGGTAAAGCAATCTCTTTTGGGATTTGTCTGTTGGGTCTTCAACTTGAACAGTTCAGCTTGCCTATTGACTCTCAGTGCAGAGCTTGTTTTGTTACCTAATTCTTCAGAATTAGGGTGAGAGGTAAGAATTAGTGGTGAGAGGTAAGAAGTCAAGCCTAATTATGTTTTCCAACAGCCAGAGTCACCCACCTCCTGGGACCCCTTCTTAAATGGAACTTAGGGGTAGGAGGAATAACAAGGTTCAGGAACCAATACAACCACCATTCAGTTTCTAATTTTATCACCATCCCATCCCTTCTCAACACATTCCTATTCTTCATCCGTAAAAATCCAGTGCATGGAATCCTATGATCAAAGGCAAAAAAAGATAATGAAACTAAGTAGTACATTTTGTTCTCATTCTTTACTTGGCAAGACAACTTGATGTATGCTTGTATCAGAGGATGCAAAGTAAACTTCCTTCACCTACTCAGGTTTTTGGGGGAGAGAGACGTTTTTGTCACTGCACAGTACAATTGTTGGGCTTCTGTTTCACATTTACAAATTTCCCCAGGGTGTGAATCCCCAGGGGTGTCAGAGGAGCTGACACGCTTGTCTGCAGAATCAGTTGGCTTTTAAGTAATTTCACCTGGTGCCTTGAAAAATCCTTCCAGAAGTCGTCTGTATCCATTTAGTGAGTTCTGCTCATGGTTATTCGGTGTGGATGCAGATTATGCAGGAAACTGAAGTAGTAGGTGACGAACTGTATATTCCCATCACATGTAGATATGTGACATAAGCTAAGAAGTATTTAGGGAAAACTGACAAAATTGAAGGACTACATAAGCGTTTAAGCTCTAATCGAGCAGCCAATGATATTACGAGAATGGAAGCTGACAGAGCAACTTTTCTGGCAGGAAATTTCACAGCTTCCTTTAAATTTATTCCAGAAATTATAGGACCCTTCTCCCTCAGCCAAGATTACACTAGGGACCCAAAGAAGCCTTGCTTCTTCACCAGTCTCATCTCCTGGGAGCTCTCAGATCACAGAATTACAGGGTGACACTTACTAGACCAAGGGTCTTCTGGCTGTTGGGCTGTGGACTTGGCATCTTCATCAATGGTAGCAAAGGCTTTCTGGGTCTGGCTTGTGGATATCCCTGTGAGCTAGACAACTGAACATTTCTACAAAAAATAAAGAAGAGAGTAGTATGTTAATATCTTTGAATGAAACTCTCACAAGCACTGCTGAAATGGAAGTCAAAGTTATACTAAAGTCACTGTGTATAGAAACCATATCACCAGGAGAAGCAGGTTGGGAATTTGTGGGCAAAAAGTAAACAGACAGGAAAGCTCCTGCTTTCCAGAGCCTTCTCTGAATAAGTAGGTAGCTGTACTATTCCTTTGGCAAATAGGTGAATTAACTAAGTAAAAATCAATCAATCAAATGACTAATACAATGAGGTAAATTACTGTTATTCTTTAAAAATGATATAAAAGAATATTCCATGTAACTAAAACATATTTTTATTCTGCACTAAATTTATCTTTATAGATAAATGTAACTGTAACTTACATGTTTTTATTCTGCACTGAATTTATCTTTATTTCTTGTATTGACTTTTTCTTCAGTTTATTATATAGATCAAATATCCTCTCTGGGCCCAGCCACTTTTTAGTATCTTATTGATATCCCTTACTGACACACAGAAGTGATAAAGGTAGTTTGAAAATAAAAAGCCCACCTTGTGTCTCTTTTTTGTTTTTTTTGAGATGGGCTCACTCTGTCATCCAGACTGGAGTGCAATGGTACAATCACGGCTCACTGCAACCTCTGCCTCCCAGGTTCGAATGATTCTTGTGCCCCAGCTTCCAAGTAGCTGTGATTACAGGCGTGTGCCACCATGCCCAGTTACTTTTTGTATTTTTATTAGAGATGGGGTTTCATCACATTGGCCAGGCTGGTCTCGAACTCCTGACCTCAAGTGATCCGCCCACCTCATCCTCCCAAAGTACTGGGATTACAGGCATGAGCCACCATGCCCAGCACCAGTTTGTATCTTAAGCAAGGTCTTCAATCCTGTTAGTCAATATTCTCTCCCCCAAGTTGGAAAAAGAAATACATAGAAAACTGGGTTTATGGCTCTGAATTTTGGTAGGATAGCAATGAGAGTGCATATTCTCTTTTGAATCCACACTGGTTACAATAACTTCTGAAAACATTCAGACATTAAACAGGGAAAAGGCAACCTGGTTTTTCACCCTTAGCACTTTAGATGCAGAATTCAGTATCTCTGAAGTCAAGTAACATTTTTCCATGATTCCCTGTGGTCTTAAATGTTTGAGACAGTCTTTTGATAACCAGAGGCAAAACCCAAGGAATCTAAGCAGGGCAGAGCTGCCCCACAATACTGACAGTAGCGGCACTGATTTTCCAGGAACACTTCCATACCATATTACAGCTTTAATATTGGGAGGCCTCCTTGAGTGGTTATTTTATTTCACTTAAACATTCAAATATGCTGGTCACTTCCATTCAATTTTATGTAGCTATTGGCTAGACATTTACTAAATATCACAAATGGGATAGGAACTGTGATAGGTGTCTGAGAAGCTGAGATAAAAGGTTCAGTTCTGTTTTCAAAAACCTCAGAATCTAGAGGAGAAAGGAAAATAACCTAACGATTAGAAAATGACAAGTGCTATAGTGAAGTTACTACAGGGTGCTTAACAGAGGCACACCTACCCCATACTGAGGAGGAGGATTGATGAAAGACTTAGCCATGACTAAGCCTTGGAGCATGCACAGGAAGTAGTCTTGAGAAGAAGGAATATAAGCATTCCAGTCACAGAGATCAACAAGAAAAAGGTGGAGACACGTGTAGAGTTTTGTATATTGGGAATCTGCAAGTGTATTTATATAATTAAACGATATGGAATGGAGGCATGGATGGAGCAGCAAATAATCCTGGAGAAATGGGCAAGGATCAGATGATGGTCAGATAACTTCAAGGTCAAGAAACTCATAGTTTAGTGTAGGTGATGGGGAACTAAGAATATTTTTTATAAAGACAGTGAAATTATATTGACAGACGTGCATTTTAAGTGACTCAAGCTATGGCAGTGGGCGAAAGAATCTTGATGGACAAGACAGTTTTGAGGACAATGGGGAGTTGATGAGCTAAAGAAGTTACTGTGTAAGTTTAGCAGAGAGGACAATCATATGTGAGAAAGAATTGAGGGAACATTTCCTGGTATCTTTCACTAAGATACTTAAGGAAGAGAGGAGGTAAGACAGGTTTAAGATGGTGAATCTCTTGAGAAGATTGTAATTTCTGCATCAGACATGTTAAACTGGAGATGCTACTTTAGTAGAGGTTTCCAGTAGATTAAAAAAATCCTATTCTCAGTGGAGATATCAGAGTAGGATTTTGATTAAATTAAGTGATTAGAAGAAGAAACTGAGAACAATGTCAGAGACATAAGAGGAAATCAGGGAGGTTTTGGGGTCCTTGGAAGATGTGGTCAGCTATAACTAATGCATAATTGAAGCAAGAGAATTAGTCAGATGAAAGAGGAGGGCTGGTCATACTCTTCAACTCTCATTTCATAAAACAAATTGCCAAAAAACAATAGGAAGTATATAATTAAAAGGAAAATGTGACCACAGATCACAAAGTTTTGAGAACTTTTTGGTGATATAAGTAATTGGAATAATATCAATAAATGATTAAAAGTAATCACATCCCACGTATATCACAATGTCCAATTGGAGATTTTCATGAGACTTTGATAAGCTAATTCAAAGATTAAATTGAAGACAAAAATTAAAGTAACCAAGAAATACTGGAAAATAATAGTAGTATAGACAAACAGGACCTACCAGTTATCAAAATTACCAAGATAAATTATTAAGATATAAAATTAATGCAGTATTAATACAGACATAGACAAGTCGTTAGAACAAAAGAATGGAGAGTCTAAAAACAGACCTATGAAATATGCTCATTTTTATAACAAAGATAGTACTAAAATCATTAAGCAATTATAAACAATTCAATAAAGGGCTTAGGACATTGTCTTTCCATTAGGAGAAAAATAATAGAACCCTGATTAGCAATACATGCACACACACACACACATATTCATGTATATATATGCATATACTTATATATAATGAAAAGTAATGTCCTTATAGCAGAACAAACTATAAAGTAATATTTTATGACCTTCAGAAGCAAGTTACATAGTGTTAATATCATAAAAGCATTGACAGATTATATAAAATTTTTTAAAAACATGTTCAACACAATATACCATTAAAATTATTTAAAATCAACATAATGGCAGAGAAATTTGAAATACATAAAGGATTAAATTCCTTTAAGCCAAAAATCTCCTAGAAACCAATATGATAGGCAAACCATGCTATAATATATTAACAAAGATTATAAAGGAGAAAGCAACAGTATCACATGGCCAGTGAATATATGGAAAAGTGATTGACTTCACTGATAATCAGTGAAATAAGATATTTTGCACAATGAGATAGTCAATACCAAAGAAATGTAGCCCAGATGTAAGATTCCAGATGTGAATTCTCATTTACTGTTACTGTTTTGTTTTTTTGGGTTTTTTTGTTTTTTTGGTTTTTTTTGAGACGGAGCCTCGCTCTGTCACCCAGGCTGGAGTGCAGTGGCAGGATCTCGGCTAACTGCAAGCTCCGCCTCCCGGGTTCATACCATTCTCCTGCCTCAGCCTCTGAATAGCTGGGACTACAGGCACCCACCACCATGCCCAGCTAATTTTTGTATTTTTTTTAGTAGAGACAGGGTTTCACCATGTTAGCCAGGATGGTCTCGATCTCCTGATCTTGTGAGCCGCCCGCCTCAGCCTCCCAAAGTTCTGGGATTACAGGTGTGAGCCTCCGCACCCAGCCTCTCATTTACTGTTGATGAGAAAAGATGAATGATTTTGGTAATGACTTGGAAATATTTATAAATTTTTAAGTGCATTTGCCTATGACTCATCACCCCGATTAAGAATAGTCATTGAAATATTGTTTAAAACCAAAAGTGTTAATACCATAAACGTTCATCATCAGCAAAGAGGCTACATATATACATCATGGGGCATCCACAGCATAGCCATTAAATAGAATGAAGTAGGCCCACCCACACTGATGTGCCACCAGGGAAAGACCTATGGGATATATTAAGTGATTAAAGAGCAAGGAATGAAAAGCAGTTTAATCCACCTATATCACGTATATACACATATAAATGCATAGCAAAAGGAATAGGAAGATACACACTCAGCGACTGGCAGTTTTTAACTGGGAGATGGCAAGAAAATGAAGGGAGAACAACCCTGAATTATGCAGCATTTATGTAATTTTTTACATATCACCATATAAAAACATCAATTATATTTGGCAAACTGATCATTGGATTTTAGTTTCGTTCTCAGAAGCTCACTTGTGGTAGTTTGAAGAATGCAGAAGCAACTAATTGGAGAAAATGAATGGAGACACTCTCTCAAGAAGTTGATCTCTAAAGGCAATAGTGACCAACAAGGACAGCAATTAGTAGATAGCATTGCTTTTTTAAAGCAAATCATTATAAGTTTGATGTGTGTTTGTTTAGCTTGGGTTTTAAGCTGAAAATGTAAGTATTCAATAAATGTTTATTATTACATACTGTGACTTAAACAATGCAAAAATTTTTCTTATTAAAACAAATGAAAACCAAGCATCGGAAAATAGAACTGCAGAAGTGAGATGAGGGGGTGGTGTCCTTTCTCATTCCACTGCATCCAGCTCCCCAGAACAACAGATTTCTACACAAAGTAACTTTAACGCCTGACTTTTAAATGTCTCATGTTTTTCTGACAGGCATTATCAACCTTTGCTTTTAATTTTTTTTTTAATGGAGTCTCTCTCTGTCACCCAGGCTGGAGTGCAGTGGCATGATTTTGGCTCACTGCAACATTGCAACCCCCGCCTCCCAGGTTCAAGTGATTCTCCTGCCTCAGCCTCCTGAGTAGCTGGAATTACAGGTGAATGCCACCACACCCGGCTAATTTTTGTATTTTTAGTAGAGACGGGGTGTCACCATGTTGTTCAGGCTGGTCTCGAACTCCTGACCTCATGATCCGCCCACCTCGGACTCCCAAAGTGCTGGGATTACAGGTGTGAGCCACCGCACCCGGCCGCTTTTAATTCTTACAGTAGTTAAAATGTCTGTATCTCAACTTCCTTTTCTCTGAGATTAAACATTTTAACAGCAATGATTTCCCCATGAAGAGTGGGAAGGATGGCCTAGTATAAAAGATGTTACTCTATTGAATGAACAGTTCCTGGAATCCCCTGAGATAAACATGTTGAGAAGTATATTATGTTTATGAAATTCTCTCTAGATCCCTGATTACGCTCTTCCCTGCCCACAGGTGTTTCTTGATATTTGATGTGAGCATTCAGAAGAAAAAGTAATTAAATAATTAGACTACATAAAATTAAACTTATTTGGAAGAAGAGTAATCTAGTTTGGGCTGAATTTTTTGTTTTCTTTTTTTGTTTTAATCCGGTTACTGGGAGACAAAACTGTTGTGGAATATAAACCAAAAGATAAGCCCATATTTTCAAATGAACAAAATTAGAATTCAAATACCAACTGTAGAGAGATATGAATGAGCCAAAGATTTGTATTTTGAGTTGAGGACTTAATATCATTAGTTTGTGAATATGTTTTCCGATCTATTATGCATTGTTTATGACTTCAATACTTGTTAGGGGCATATGTTATTCAAAGGCACTAACTGATAACAACGTAATAGACTGAAGGTAACTAGGTACATTTTCTCTTTCTATCCATTGAGATTTCTTTTTGCCACATGAAGTAGCAGAGATATTAACCACAGATATATAGGTAATGGACTATGCAGAATAGTATGGCCATGTTTTCCCTGTTATTCTCTATGGCATATTTTACTAATCTACATTTGTTCAGCTTTTACTGTTTGCAGGGCTGGGAAAGTCAAAGCTCCACACTTAGAAGTGAAAACAGTAATGCTGATTTTTTTCTCCCCTTGGGAATAACCCTCTGGCCTCCAGGCAGTTCTTTTAAAAATAGCTTCTGTCTGCCTTGTGTCATTATTATCACATATACAATCCCCACCCTGACTGTCCAGAACTGAAATCCGTCTTCTGTATTCAAGAGCAGTTCATCTGTGCACGAGTTGCTTTTATGTAAGTCACTGTGGCATATGTCAGCTTGAGTTGTTGGTGTTTCCATAAAGTATTTGCTTTGCATCCCTATTACATAGGATGAAAAAGCGGGTAATAAAAAGTATCACTGTGCTGCACTATCTTACCTCTACGTAGAACCTATCATCCTAGGTGCTTTTGCCAGCCAAAATAAAAACCAGAAGGAAGGGAATTTTATTCACCTGTGACATATGAATCTCTCATGCAGTCTTTCTATCTATTGTGTTTAAGATGATCCATTGTTTGGTCAAGGAAAATAAAGAGTAGCATCTGAAAACATGGGCTTTCTACTAAAAAGGAAGAAATGGTTACATAAAAGTGGACATGTGTAAAAGAAGCCAATACACTTTCTGGAATAGCACAATAAGGCATACACACACATATTCACACACATATAAAATATATATAACATAGATACATATATACACATTCATATTCACACACATATAAAATATATATAACATATATACACATATACACACATATTTACACACATATAAAATATGACATATAGACATACATATACACACATATTCACACACATATAAAAATATGTGTAACATGTATACATATATACCTATATTCACACACATATTCACACACATATAAAAATATATATAACATATCTACACATATATTCACACACATAAAAATATATATAACATATATACACATATATACACACACATGCATAATTTCTTAATATGTTATTGTTTCTGTGAGCCTATAGATTTTTTTTTCCCCCAAAGCAATACTGACTCTAGAACAGAAACAGAAAATGAAGTTCACTTCTTTTCTAACAAATTTATATAAGGAAGATGAAAAGCATTTTAAATTATATATAAAGATATAGTCAATTGTTTAAACTATTATAAATTTGACTTCTTGGGTCACAGTGGTTTTTAGCCAATAAAATTAAATCAGAAACTTAATAAAAAAGACTAAAGAACTTAATTTTTTCTTTAAGTGTTGGATCTAAACAAACTATAAAAAGGTCCTTAATGATTCTTGAAGCAGCAAGGTTTACATTATCTGTGTTCCCTGTAACTCACAAAATGATTGTGGTTACAGGGGCTGTGATTTTTTTCTAAGCCAGTAGCTTCCCTATTGCCAGCAGGACACACACCATGCCATTGAAGAAAGTAAATGATGTCAACAAAAGTCTTGAGTTGCGCTTTAGATTCATGGAGTACTGGGTACCTTGACGGCATCATTATTTCACTAAAAACTCTCTTTCTTAGATTGAGGATCATTCATGGCCATGATGAGAACTTCTACCATTGTCATTCATCGATTTATTCCCTCGTGATGTTATTTTTCATCGAGTGTCTGCAAGCCATGTCCTAGCTAAGTCAAAGTGAAGGAAAAGGACATTGCAAAAGTAAAGAATAATAATAGCAGCGTACAGCAGACAAAAGAAAGCCAGGCCATGATGCCCAACTTATGTGGAGGGAAGAGCAAATCTTTTCATCACACTGTATTGCCTCTCAGACAACTTCTTCAATATCTTAGGATGTTTTTCAAGCAAGAGGACCAGAATTCTAGATTTCTTTTACCGTTTCAGTCTATCTTGGACTTTAATGTTCCATTTTTGTGTTCATTTTATTCATTCTGGTTTCATCGTTCTATTTTGAGCTGGTCTCCCCCTTCTTTTTATTATTAATATACAAATTTTTTTGGACCCTACTTTGTGTCAATGGTAGAGACACAATGCAGAAAGACAGTCCCTACATACAAGTTATTTCTAGTTTAATAGAGGAGGCAGGTATGAATCACATACAGTTGCCTCTTGAATAAAGCAGGGATTCAGGGTGCTGACTCCAATGCAGTTGAAAATCTGCAAATAAATTTTGACTCCCCAGAAGTTAACTACTAATGATCTACTTGACTGAAAGCCTTTTTTTTTTTTTTTTTGAGACAGAGTCTCGCTCTGTCACCCAGGCTCGAGTGCAATGGCGCAATCTCGGCTCACTGCAACTTCCACCTCCCAGGTTCAAGCAATTCTCTTGCCACATCCTCCAGAGGAGCTGTGATTACAGGTGCACACCACCACACCCACCTAATTTTTTTGTATTTTTAGTAGAGACAGGGTTTCATCATGTTGACCAGGCTGGTCTCAAACTCCTGACCACAGGTGATCCGCCCGCCTCGGCCTCCCAAAGTGCTGAGATTACAGGCGTGAGCCACCACACCCAGCCTGAAAGTCTTAAAGAAAACATAAACAGTTAATTCACACATATGTTGTATGTTATATGTGTTACATACTGTATTCTTACAAGAAAGCTAGGGAAAAGAAAATGTTAATAAAATCATAAGGAAAATAAATATATTTAATATTAAATGGAGGTGGATCATCATAAAGTTCTTCATCCTCATCATCTTTATACTGAGTAGGCTGAGAAGGAGGAAGAGGAGGGGTTGTCTTTGTGGTGGCAGAGACAGAAGAGATGGAGAAGGCAGAAGAGAGATACAAGGATTAGGCACATTTGGAGTGACTTTTATTGAAAAATATCCATGTATAAGTGGACCCATGAAGTTCAAACCTGTATTGTTCAAGGGTCAACTATACTTATAAAAATTTATAATTACAAACTACTATAAGTCGTATGAGGAAAAGTCACAAAGCAACAAGATTAAATATCAGAAGTAACTCATTCTAGGTGAAGCAAGTAATTTTTCTTTCTTTTTTTTTTTTTTTTTTTTGAGAACGAGTCTTGCTCTGTCACCCAGGCTGGAGTGCAGTGGCGCGATCTTGGCTCACTGCAACCTTCACCTCCCGCGCTCAAGCGATTCTCATGCCTCGGCCTCCCAAGTAGCTGCGAGTACAGGTGTGAGCTACCATGCCCAGATAATTTTTGTCTTTTTAGTAAAGACGGGGTCTCACCATGTTGGCCAGGCTGCTCTCAAACTCCTGACCTCAAGTGATCCGCCCGCCTCAGCCTCCCAAAGTGCTGGGAGGACAGGCCTGAGCCACCAAGCCTGGCCGCAAGTGACTTTTAAGTTGAGATTTAACCATTTAGAGTTGACTAGAAAATGAGGAGGAGAAAACATTATGGGTAAAGAGAACATTTTTGCTAAGGCTCAAACTTTAGGGGCAGTATGTTGCATTCAGGAAATAAAGAAAGCCAGTGAAGCTGGAGACCAGATAGGAAAGATCAGGGAAAAAGTTGATGCTTAAAAGTTAGGCAGGAGTTAGAGCAAATAGGGCATTGAGTCCATGAATGAATTTGGTCTTTTTTCTAGGAGGGATGAAAAGGTTATTAAGCATGAATGGATTTGTTATTTCCTAACTTTACCCTTTGCCTGTTTGAGTAACGAATCTATTACTTCCTCAAATTCATTCATGCTCTGCACCTGAATTAATAAAACCATTTCTCCTTTCTTTTGGGTTGTGAGTGTCACATCAATCTGTTTTTAGGTATACTAATAACTTGTCTTATGGCTTTTCTTTGCTGGGAGGTTTTTGTTTACTGATTCAATCTCATTTGCTATTGGTCTGTTTAGATTTTCTGTTTCTTCATGATTCAGTCTTGGTAGGTTGTATGTTTCCAGGAATTTATCAATTTCTTCTAAGCTATCCAATTTGTTGGCATATAATTGTTCATAATAGTCTCTTGTTAACCTTTTATCTAAAAAAATCTCTGAGGCATCTCCTCTTTCATTTCATTTTATTTACTTAAGTGTTTTCTTATTTTTTTTCTTAAAAAAGGTTTGTTGAGTGTGTTTATCTTTACAAAAAAACAACTCTTAGGTTTTCTTAATTTTTCTTATTTTTATTCCCTATTTATTTCTGCTTCAATTTTTATTATTTCCTTCCTTGTGCTAACTTTGGGTTTAGTTTGTTCTTATGTTTCTTGTTCCTTGTGGTTTAAAATTAGGTTCCTCATTTGAGATCTGTCTTCTTTTTTGATGTATGTATTTACCACTATAAACTTCCCTCTTAGAACTTCTTTGCAGCACCTCGTAAGTTTTTTACATGTTGTGTCTCTATTTTTATTTGCTTTGAGGGTTTTTAAAATCTTTTTTATTTCTTCTTTGACTGGTTGTTCCATCATGCGTTGTTTAATTTCCACTTATCTGTGAATTTTCCAATTTTCTTTCTGTAACTGACTTCTAGTTTCATAAAATTATAGGAAAAGATACTTGATATCATTTCCATCATTTTAAGTTAATTGACACTTGCTTTGTCGTCCAACGTATGATCTATCCTGCAGAATGCTCCTTATGCATTTGAGAAGAACCTGTATTCTGCTGCTGTTTGATGGAATGTCCCATATATGTCTGTTAGATCTATTTGGTATATAGTGTTATTCAAGTCTGTGGTTTTCTTATTGATTTTCTGTCTGGATGATCTATCCACTGTTGAAAGTGGGGTACTGAAATCCCCAGCTGTTAATATATTGCTGTCAATTTCCTCCTTCAGATCTGTTAATATTTGCTTTTTATATCTAGGTGATCTGATGATGGATGCACATATATTTACAACTGTTATATCCTCTTAAAGAATTGACTCATTTATCATTCTATAATGATCTTCCTTGTCGCTTGTGACAGTTTTTAACTTAAAGTCCATTTTGTCTAAGTAGAGCCACTACTGATCTCTTTTGTATTCTATTGGCATGGAATATCTTTATCCATTCCTTCACTTTCAGCCTATGAATATCCTTAAACTAAAGTGAATCTCCTATAGATGGGCATCATATTGTTGGATCTTGTTTTGTTTTGTTTACCCATTTGGCCAGTCTATGCCTTTTGATAGGAGAATTCAGTCCACTTACATTTAAAGAGATTGTCGATAGGTAAAATGTACTATAGCCATTTTCTTGATTGTTTCCTGATGTTGTTTGGTCCTTTGTTCCTTTCCTCTTCTCTTCATGTCTTTCTTAGTGATTTGATGATTTTTACTTTTGTAGTAGTATTCTTTGATTGCTTTCCCTTTATCTTTTGCATATCTAGTAGAAGCCTGGAGCTTCTCTTGGGGTAGTAAGTTAGGGCAATCATTAAGCTCACCCTATTTAGTTCCCCTTTCTTAACGATCACCACCCAGCATCTTCTGATGTCCAATGTCTGAAAATCACAATTTAATATATTTTGTCTGGTATTTTAGCTGTTTCATGTCAGATGATAAATTATCTAGACCCTCTTTCTCTAACTTGGCCAGAAGTGGAAGTCATCTTTATTGCTGTTTCTAAGTGTTACTATTAACATATGCAAACCTATCTATTTCTGATACATTAAAAAATCTTGATTTTTTTATGATTGCTTGATCCCCCAAACTGGGATCTTACTTAAAATCCATCAAATCAAAATCAAATTTCTAAGAATAACAGGTTAAAATCAGGGTTTTTATGAAGATGTTGGTTATATACTTTTTATGACTTACATCGATATCAATATTAAAGTTGTTTGCACAAATTAAGAACAGAAGAATGAATACTAAAAATCCATCTAACTTATTTATCTTCATTAATACAGAAAATCTTGCATAAAATTTCTAAGTGTTAGGTAGTAATGCTCCAGACATAAGACTTTCATTACTTTGACTTTTCCTCAGTATTACGTCTGGGCTTTACTGAAGTGAACTGATTTGGTTTCTTTTAATTCAGTGTATAATAACTTTGTCTACTTGGTCAAATAATCTATCCTTCCCCATACTCAATATCATAATATCTATCACAATTTCATTTAAGGGTTTAAAACAAAGCTTACAGGCCACATTAATTCACAGAGCATCATGAAAGAATATCTTAAGGAAAACTAAAAAGAAAAAAAAAAAGGAGTACCTACTGCCTACTTCCAAGCATTATGCTTGGAGTACTGGCACACTGAATATATTTGGGCAACCAACAACTTTCCTGAAACATGTTGCTCGCATAAGATCTAAAAATATTCTGGTGACAAGTTCAAGTCATTTTATCCCCAAATCTATATTATTGAAAGTATTGATGTCCTCATTACTTCATTTAAACAATGTGGAACTTAGCAATAAATTAGAAGGCATGTATAGTCATTTTTATAGCGTTTCTCAAAAAGCATTACGAGTTTCAAGTATATTTTCTTTCAAATAATCTTGAGAACTATTGGGTCATATCATCACCTTGAATTGCTGTACAGTCTGCAGTGTCTCCTACCCATCTAAGTGATGATTTATTTCAAGTTTTACTCCATCTGAAGCCAAGATTCAAATGTATAATTCAGTTCAGCAAATGTATATTGAACAAATATTTGCTTAGTGCTTGGAATATAGAAATTAATAAGTCCAGTCTCTATTACTGAAGAACCTACTTTCAAAAAGTTGAGACAGGTACAGAAGCAGATAATGTCAGTGTAATATATTTTTTCCTATGAGAGAGGTAAGCAAATGGTGTTCCAGGAGCCCAGAGATAAGGCTGTATGTAAGTTATATTATAAATGGCAAGTAGAAAAGTATTTGATGAAGAGGATGTAGGTGCTTGAGATTTGATGTCTGTTAAAGCACACTTCTTAATGAGAATGTAGGATTATCCAAACATTACATTAAAAAAAAAACATAGTATTATAGCAGTTTGGTTTCACAGCATGTACAGGGCAAGTTAAGAAGTAGCATTAGATTCTCAGGAGAGATAGATAAGGGCTTTGCAATACTGCTATGTTGTAGAAGAAAAAGATCTAAAATTTTAGCATATGTTATCAAGAAACTGACCTGTCAAGGAGAATTCCCCAAGCACATAGTAATATGCAGACTGGAACTCTCAGCTGAACAAGGTTGTAGAGTTAAGTTGGTTATCTGGAATTCACAGAGTAAAATCTGTTGATTTTGTGGCTTATAGATAACAAGAAATGGTTTTAAGAGAGAATCAATTGGAATAGAAAAGACTGATGTGCAAACTGATTATGGGATGAAACATTTGGGCTGTTCACATTTTTTATAGTTAAGGGATAAATAACACAGAAACATAATTTTAAACTAATATATTTACAACTAAAAAAGGACACCTGGGTAGACACAGACTTCTTTCCTCAAACCTTATACATACGTAAAAATGTAAAACTCTTAAGGACTTCTAAGTGGGAGTTAAATACAAGCAAATACTACTCCTCTCATTTTGTCTCAAACCTAAAAAGGATAACTCCATGAATATTGTTAATTATTAAATCAAATATAAAACATAAGTCATGAAGGCTAAAATCAATGATACATTAAAATTTAAAAGTAGTTAAGTCACATAAAATACAGGAAAAAAATACAGAATTTTCAGGGAAATAAATACAAAAATAGTGAACACATTAAAAAATGGTAAAAATAATTCTAAAGAACACTCACAGCCAACAGATTCGTGACCAGAAACGCGCAATTATTATCATTAATTTCTTTTTCTGTATAGATTTTTATGAGAATAGTCTACGTTTCTAAATAAAAACTATATTTGACAAAACAAACTTGTCTCACTAAGAGCAATACATTACAAATCAACACAGGTGTATTCTTTCCTTTACATACACTTCATACAATTAAACATAAAAGCATCAGTTGTGTGCTCTGAATACTTCTGTACATTAAAATTTTGAAAAATACAATAGAAGAATTTAAAATAGCCTGTATCATAAGAGCTGATAATATTTTTGAGAAAACATTAATATCCACATTTTTATAAAGTATAACAATAAGTGAATGTCCCATGAGAAAATGCACTTATTGTGGAAAACCATCAGAAGGAAGGAGATAAGGGTTTTATTCAAATGACAAGAAAATCTGACTGACCCAGAGCAGAATAAAGACCACAGGAAGATTAGGGAAAACATACTGGAATTCTAGTCTACGTCTGTTGCCTAAGGAATCAAGACTGGGGCCATTTGCATGCATTGGACTGAGAGAGATTTTCTTACTTTTTTTTTTTTTATTACCAAGAATGCTGCTCCAGTTCTCATTGGATGCTACACAGATGAATGATGTCAGTCTAGAAAAATAAGATCAGTGTGGCCAGGACAGATGAAGATGGCTTCCGGAAAAAAACAAAAACAAAAACAAAAACAAAAAAACACAGTGCACATTCTGACTTAATTCGCGATAACTTTCTGTAAAGTAAGTCATCTTGCAAAATTCTGTATGATGAATATTTACTATTTAAAAGAATTCTGTGGTACAGTCTGTCAAAAAGTAAAAACTAACACTAAATGATGATTAAGGTTAATAATAATAGCTTTGTTATTTAGTTGACAGAAAGGGAAATATATCATCGCTTTTAAGAAATATTACTTTATGTCCCTACTTTTAATTACTTGGAAAAAAGATGATATGAAAAGTAGAGTAAGCTAAACTTTATCTTAAAAACCTTATCTAAAAATAACAGACTTTGTACTCTCTTTTATTAGCACAAAAATACAATATTTTACTAAAGGAAATCAGAAGGTCAAGAACTGGGCAATTCTGGCCAGAGTTTTTCTTTGATGAACGTGGCTGCAGTTTTTAAAAATGGAAACCTGTTAAAGCAGATACAAATTTCTGAAGTATTAATGACTGCCCTAAACATTAGGGGATCCTCCACATGCTAAATAAATACTGCAGTGCCAAAGATAACCCCATATCTAAGTTAACAAGCACATGAGGAACCAGAATTCTGTTCTACACCAAGTTGGCTACAGCACAGGGAACTTGAAAGAAAAGATGTTAACCCTCCTTTATTTTGAGCAGCTTTGGTGTCTCTCTCTAAATTAAAAATGTCTATAATGTACATTATCATATGTCACATAACATCTTATAAAAACTAACATACATAAAGAAAAATACATGAGGTATAGGAAAACTACTGACTTCTTCATTATTGGTTGTTGGCTTAAGTCACTGATAATTTCTTCACTTGATTTTAACCAAAAGGCTAAGAAGCAACGTGGCCATTGATAATTTCTTGGATGTCTTTTTAAAAATGTTCTTCCATTTGTGGAACTCAATATCCCTGCAAAGCTAAACCACAGTCACACATTAATGCTTGATCTGTTTTCTCCAGTATACCAGCAGACTCTGAACTCTGGGACCAGAGCATCCCTATGGTGTATAATAACCGAGAACAGGTCATTCATGTGTCGAACTGAGGGAGACAGGTCATAGAAAATACACTTAGGTTTAAAATAGAAATTCTCACTTTGTGCTTTTTAGGGTTTAATTGCTGCTAAGATGATGCTATCAATTGTATTTTTAGGTACTATCCTCTAGCATGGCACAAGATATATAGGTTTTAATATCAGTAATACTTTGAAGTGAAGTCATCATCATCATCTCCTTTGCCCTCGCCCAAGATGTTCATGGAATTCTAAAGCACATTTTTGCAGTTAGCCTCAGAGTGACCCTGCAAGGGACGCAGCTATGGACATCCAGAGGAAGGCCATAAAACAAAGGGGGATGCCAGTTATGAAGACCTGATGTTATTTTTCTTTTGCCCTAGAAGCTCCAAAAGTAAAATTTGGCTCAGAAAGATAGACAGTTTTCATTGTAAAATTTGTTAGGATTCAATCTTCATCAAAATATCTTCCTTTAATCAGTAATAAAAAAATTAAGAACTTTAAAAGTCCAATCAACATGGGAAAGACACAGAGATACATTTCAACTTGCCCTGCTCTCAGGAAGAGCATAGTATATTAATACATTATATACAACTGGGGGAAATGGAACTCATCTACATTCTTAATAGTTTTCTCTTGTATTTCTGTTCTTAAATGGTAAATCAGTGGCACAGAAAATATTAATATATAGGGATTTATAGTTACAGTACACCAAAACTGGAATTTAACGGATGGTTTCATTGGAGAGGGAAAAGCTGAACTGACCTTGAAAAAACAGATGCACTATTTCATCGAAGAGGAGGGTAAAGTGCATTTCAGGATGAGGAATAGCTGTAAGCTCCTGGTGCTCCTGAATTTCTCTCAGTTCCTTCTCATTTTTTAACCCAAATGACCTTTGCTTGATGACACTTTGGCCATCTTGTAAATCTCAATGTAATCGAATCTACTATTCAATAATTCTAATTTGGAGGGAAGAAAAAGTTTCAGTAAAATAAGCCTTAGTGTGGTTTCCATTGTAGATCTGCAAACAACCAAATGACAACTTCACCTAAACTAGAGGAACACAGACATGAAAAAGATATCTGCCCATCAAAAATAAGAACTAAGATCTACTTTCATTGGGGTTCCCTTAGAAGTAGATCCTGATAGACATTCAAGGACAAGGAGTCTGTTTGGAAGGTGAAAGAACACAGAGACAGGAGAGTGGAGAAGTGAGCCAAAAAAAGGAAAAGTTACCAATAAAGTGTGTATTTTCAAGTGAGTTACCATTGCAGGCTACAGGAACTTCATCTTAAAGAAGGAACTCTGGAAGCCAGTGTTACATATGTGCCTTATAAGTAACAAACACAAGCAAAGGGTCTAGATATTTGTATATGAACTTGTTAGTCATTGGTTGAGGGCTGCTCCTGGAACACAGATGAGTGATGGGTTGACAGTGTCCACTACAGTCTACCCCTTGCACTGCTTAGATTCACTCATGCACCAAAAGCACTCCACAGTCATTAATTTTTCAAGGTGGTGGTTGGATATAATTCAATTTTAAAAATTGAAACAAAGAGGGTCATAAAAACAGGGGAGCCACTGGGATAAGTTAGAGTCTCATATTGCTGGAATGAGGACAGTTGGGCCTCAGTATCCACAGGTGCTGCATCCAAGGATTCAACCAAGTGGGAATGTGTTATTTTTTTGAAAAAAGAAAGCAAATAAGAATGCAATTTCAAAAATACAAATAAAAAGCCCATACAGCATAACAACTATTAACATAGCGTTTACACTGGATTAAATAATGCAAGTAACCTAGAGATTATTTAAAGTACATAGGACGATTGCGTAGGTTATATGCCAATACTATGTCATTTTACGAGAGTTGTGCATCTGTAAATTTGGGCATCTGCAAAGAGTCCTGGAAGAATTTTCCTGAAGATACTGAGAGATGACTATATTCATCATCTGTCTACTCTGTGACATATTCTAAACTCTTCATCACAGAACAGCATTTCTAATAACCTGGTCTACTCACTCAAAGACTGTGGTTTCTGCAGTTGCTGATTTCTAGTTATCAGCAGGCATGGGACCCTCCAGTGAATCCTCTGGGGTCCAGACATCCTCCTTTCAGTCCGATAATGTAGCGGTATCCTTATCTCCTAACAATAATCAGGGTCAATCGTCCCTTCCGATAGAGTAAACTCCTTTGATTGCAGACTAATCTTCTGGCCCAAGAAATGCAAAGTGACTGGTTGATAAGCATGAACTTTGCTATAGTGGAACCCTTGTGTCTTCTGAAAGAAAAACAACCTCTTGGGAAGCAGAAACTAGTTGCATGCATGAAAGTAGGTCACTGGATATGATGGTAAATGGGGACAATTCTACCTATATTTCTTAGTTTCTAGGCCTATGTATTCTATCTACTGGGTATAAAACACAAAACAGCTGTTGTTTAAAGTATACATGGCATTTTGAATGTCAGCATCCAAATCCCACAAGGAATCTCCCTAAGGCAGAGTTTTATTTGTGCCTTTAAAAAGTCTAACATTTTCTCGGAAATCAGTTTCCATATGATGCTGTATATGTTAGGACCAATAAGTCCCATGGTCAAATGTCCCTTGTTTCATCTTCTTCATGTAAGGTGATGATCCCATGATAACAAATGGGTGCTGACCCTATGATAACAAATCAGACACTTTTAGCCCTCTTTGAAAGATGCCAGTCCAGGTACTGTGGGCAAATAAGAAAATCTATAATCTCAGAATATGTGTTACTTTAAGTAATAATCCCTTTGTCTTCAGGGAAGATAAAGTCCAATGTACCTTTTGGCAAAGTGGGTGATTGCTCTCCTAAAGAGACTATATTAAGAAAACGAATAGTTTCAGTCTGTGCTGCAGACAAGTTAGATATTCAGTAAATTCAATAGCTGGATCAGCCATAATGAGGACTCAGGTGTTTAGATGTTTGCATACCCTCCATCTTTGACCCCTTGCATATTCTATTCCTGGGCCTGTGTGCAAGTACTATGACAGCTGGGAACAGATACCACTCAATACTTTCCCTGCAGTGAATCTCTCTGATAGGTATTAATATAAGAGACAAAGATCCACTCATTCATGAATCACGTTCAGGTTTTTCCATCCTCCATCTCTTCTGGGCCACTCATATGCATAATTTTCTTGTGTCCTCCAAATCTCCTCTGAGACAATCTAAAAAATAGCATTGTGACCATAGGATGCAATACTGCTGGGCATGCTCAACTTGTGGAACTGACAAACAATTCATGATAGGCATCTCTGGTTGCTTAGTCATTTGATGGCCTTTCATAGGCTGTCTCTGCAAGGCCCTACAGTAGCATATTTCACAGTGGTTTTCTAAAGCCGAAGAACTGTCTTATGCAGAAGTCACAACTTAGCTCTAGAATCTCAGAGATCTGCTCTGTCACTGTCCTATTGGTATTTCTCAAAAATTCCACACAGTTCCCTTATCTCCTCTAGCAATACTGGATATATCACTTTCTAGATCCTAAACAGCAAGGCCGTTTCTACTGTGGACTGAATTCCCTTAACTATTTTTCCCCCAGTAGCTTTCTGGGTATGTGATGTTCTCCTATCCTGAAAGAGCCTAATAAGCACTGTGTCTTTTTTTAGTGGTAGGATTTTAATGATGAAATAGAATTTCCTTCACCTGGGAGGCAATATCTCAGTATGTCCCAGAACAGCTGGCCCTTAAAACCTTTATCAATAAGGCAGATATTTCACTGGTCATTTACTGGGTCCTTGGCACTAATGGACCTAATCAGGTTACTTAAAGAATCCATTACTTCCTTCTCATAGGTATAATTAACATCATAGCATCAACATGGCAATGTTCTCAGATGAGTGCAATGTTCTCAGAATATCCAAATAATCAAGCTCCCTTCACATTGTAGTGCGTCAGAAAGAAACACAGTAATTTCTCTGAAATTCAATCACCTTGAGGCACTACTATGAATGAATGCTCCTGTCTGTTCAAAGTAAGACTTGATCCTTTTGCATGAAAGGTATTGAAAAGAATACCCCATAGAGGGTTCCATAAGCTGCATTGATCTGTTCCAACAAAGATTCAAAATTCAACACAATAGCTAAGATTGAGACTATCATTTGTTGAGTCATCTCTAAATAATATCCTGAATATATGTTATTTCATCTGGGTGCATGTATACACATAGAATAAATTTCCATAACTGGGATCACTGGGATCAAAGGGCGTTGAGAAAATCACATATTCTGCCAAATTGATTTCTGTAGCTGTTGTATAGTTTTATATTCCCAGCAGTTATGTAGTAAGGGATGTGTATTCTCAGAGCCCCATTACCATTAGATGGTCAAACTTTTAAGAATTATGCCAATCAGACAAGTAAAAAATACCACTTAGTGAAGTTTTATTGTGCATTTCTCCAATTAGGATTGAAATTTAGTATGTTTTCTATATTTAAGGGCTACTTCTCTTTTACTATTATTACTATTAACTGTTTTTTGTGTCTTTTGTCCTTATTTCCATTGGATGATTAGTCTTTTACCTACCAAATTATAGAAACTTTTTACATATTAGTGCAATTTTTGATTCTATAAATTGCAGAATTTTACTAATTTTTTAAGTCTGTTCAGGGTGATTTTTTAATTTATAACTTTATTTTTAATTATGCAGTAAAATTTATTAATCTTTGCATTATAAAGTGTTATATTAATTGTATATTCTATTATCTACTGAAAACTTCTATTGTTTGAAGGTTTTTTTCAGTAATTTTTCTTGGATTTTCAGCATGGTCATATGGTTTTAAATCAAGAATGAGAGTTCAATTTTATCAAATGATTTTAACTTTTTTGAAGATGAACATTTTTTTCAGTAAATAATTATAACAAATTTTATTATATATTTTCTAAAACCAAACCATCCCAACATTCTTGGGAGGAAAATACTTCTGATTTCATGTTACATTCATCTTTGTTTTTTATTTGCTGGTTTTAAGAGACAGCGTCTTGCTCTATCAGCCAGGCTGGAATGCAGTGGGGTGATCATAGCTCACTGCAGCCTTGAACTCCTGGCTCAAGCAGTCCCCCTGCCTCAGCCTTCTGAATAGCTGGGATTACAGGCATGCACCAACACACCTGGTTGTTTTTTTAATTTTTTGTAGAGATGACATCTTGTTATGTTGCTTAAGTTGGTCTCCAACTCCTGGCCTCCAGTGATCCTCCTGCCTCAGCCTGCCAAAGTGCTGTGCCTTTGAGCCACTGTGTCTGGCTAAATTGCTATATTAATCTTTAAATGTGCTTCAAGTTTCGGGATTCTAATCTTCTATTTGGGATTTTAAAATTATTATTCATAGGGGAGATAAATTTCATTGAAATTATCTTCTTTTTAAAGGTTTGAATTTTCTTTCCATCTATGAGCTTGACTATTCTACACTCCTCCTGTGAGTAGGATCATGTAGTATTAGTATTAGTCCTTCTGTGACTTGCTTATTTCACTTGCATACTGGCCTCCAGGTTCATTCATATTATTGCAAGTGGTAGGATTTCTTTCTTTTTTAATGAATGGCTATCATATATATATATATATATACACACAAACATACACACGCACATATATACATATACATATAGTTTTTTTTTTAATGATGACAAGCATTGGAGAGGATGTAGATAAATTGGAACCCTTTACCCTTTACGCTACTGGTGAGGATGTACAACAGTGTAGCCACTGTGGAAAGCAGTCTCAAGGTTCCTCAAAACATTAAAAATAGAACTACCACATGATCTGCAATTCCACATATGGAAAAATGTCCAAAAGAATTGAAATCAGGATTTGGAAGATTCACCAGCACTCCCTTGTGCATTATTCACAACTGCAGCATTATTCACAACAGCCAAAACGGAACCGATCCAAATGTCTGTCAACGACGGAGTAAAGAAAATGTGGTCTATGTACATGTCATTTTTCTTTCTATATGCTCTACAATAAAGGTTTGAAAACTGTGGCCATTGGGCTGGATCCAGAGTGTGGGCTGTTTTTGTAAGAGCCTCAGGATGAGAATTATTTTTACATTGTTAAAAAATTGTAAGTAAAAAAACAAATAAAAGAAAAATCTGTGATAGACACCACTATGTGGGCTGCAATGCCTATATTATTTATTATCTCACTTATCACAGCGAAAAACTTGCAAACTCTTGCTCTCAAAAGCTAAATATCATTAAAATTATCTTCCTTTTAAAGGTTTGATATATTTTTCCTGAAAAACTATTTTATTCTGGTGCTTTTTCAAGGAGATCCAGGTAACTTTCTGTGAACTTTATCATTTATTTTATGGAAATTGTTTTCAGTAAGCTATTTGAGTGAACAAATTGTATTTTTCTAGAAAATTATCCATGTCATCTAGATTTTTAAATTTTTTGGATAGAATTTTTCAAACTCTCCTCTCGATGTCTTTCAATATTTCCTCTTTAAATGTTTAGGTCCCAGTTTTCCTGGTTTGTAAATTTTTATCACTCCGTTTGTAAGTTAGGCAAATTTTTATCTATTCTGTTTATACCAATTACAGTTTGATAGAAAAGCAAATTCACTAAGAATGATGGGGAATATTACATCTCGCTTAGGGAATCAGACTTACGAATTCCTGGGAACATGTCGGGATCAATAGAAAGCTGATTGTTCAGCATCTGTAGGAATCATAATATTGCTCTGAGATAGCAGTGCTGGTGGCAGGAAGGAAAAGTAGAGATGCATTTGTGGAAAGTAACAAACATAAGTGTACATGGAACTCATGAAACCTGGTCAGAACCCCCAAGGACAACTGAAACCCTCATCTGTTTCCTACCACCTCCAAATTCAAGAGATGCAGGTACCCAGCAAAAGAAGCTGTTTCCTTAGCCACAAAGCTACACGCGCACCTGTCCCAGGACTCAGGGAGTATAAAGGGGATGAGATGCAGGTGTTAGAGGAGCTGCAGACCTGGCTGTGGCCCCAGGCTAAGGTGAGCAACAGACAAATCCCAACATATGTGGATTTCATAATGCCTTCAAAGCAAAATGGCTGCTGCTTCATTTCCCCCTTGTACTTCTCACACAAATTTTTCTTGCCACCACCCTAAATCAGAACCACAAGGTAAAAAGAAACCTGGAAAATGTAACTTTAGCCTAGTCAAACTGACCCGGTACAAAGATACAGTAGTATATCCCTGTCAAAATGTCAAGTATCTATTCACTCTTCATTTAACAATCCCTAACTTCATAAGATGTTAGTAAAATCGTGATTTTGCATAATATGGTTCAATAACCCTTCATACAAATGCAAACACACTAACCTCTCCCCAAAATGATCTACAAACTCCCAAGGCTAACTTTATCCACCTTTGAGAGATTTCTCTTGTATTAAGAGTCACATTCTCCCTTTGGTTTCCTGCAACATAAATCCTGAGACATAAGGTTATTAGGTGGTAGGGAAATAGAATATTGAAAAATAAAAAATAATTTGATTAAATGTACTCATGTTTTATATCAAAATAAGAAAAGTAATAGATCTAATTATTATAGTCCTCATTTCTGAAATTGATCACGAAGTCATAGCTGGTATTTAATACTTCCACTGTCCATTCATATTCTCTTTACCTCTTGGAAGCAAACAAGAGGCTGAGGTGCCTTTCCTGGTAAAGTGTTTAAAATATTCATTCCTGGCCAGGCATGGTGGCTTACTCCTGTAATCCCAGCACTTTGGGAGGCCGAGGCAGGCAGATCACAAGGTCAGGAGTTTGAGACCAGCCTGACCAACATGGTGAAACCCCGTCTCTACTATAAATACAAAAACTAGCCAGGCATGGTGACACACGCCTATAATTTCAGCTACTTGGGAGGCTGAGGCAGGAGAATCGCTTGAACCCGGGAGGCAGAGGTTGCAGTGAGCCGAGATTGTGCCATTACACTCCAGCCTGGGCGACAGAGTGAGACTCTGTCTCGGAAAAAAAAAAAATCTTCATTCCTGAAGGCTCTGTATAGTTGCAGTCCTTCTTGCATTGGATTATTATACTTTTTCATTAACTTTTATCATACCACATGGAAGTGTCAAGTTGTGCCCCAGGGAATCTTTTGCATTTGAGACGTACTGTTTCTCACCTCTGTTATGTCTTAGCAATCCAATTTCTTCCTTATAGTCAGGATCAATCCACCCAGTGATTAAAGTAATCCTCCTTTCTCCTTGTGGTTTTACTGGCATGAGGATTCCAATGCAGGCAGGTTCCACATTTCATATCCCACTGCTTCCAGTTACATGGAACGATGTGCCCCTTGGTAATGTCCTTCCTTCCTTGTGAATTAAGACTTTTATGCCATATGAACATATATTTGTAGAGATGGGAAACAACAAAAATGTATTAATGACTTATGTGGAGGAACGGAGGAGACACTTCCATTAGCATGTCTTGATTTCCCAGACATATGAACTTGTTCCAGATCTGTAAGATGTTGTCACCAAGATAGCACTACAGATGTGTCCTCAAAAGGTCATTGCATCATCCTATCAGGGCAGTTATTTCAGGATGATGAAGTAGCCTAGTGAGACCAGTAAATTCCACAAGCATCAGCTCATTGCAGGACTTAATTTTCTTTAACAATAAAATTTTTTTAAAGTCAATGCTATGAGCAGTATTATGATGGTGAATAAGGCATTTTACAAGATTATGGATGATGGAAATAATCTTGCCTGGGAACTCCAAGTTTAGAGCATGTTCATAGCTCCACCCCACAGAGAAATGTCTTCAATTCAACTCTGACCTTTTCTTGTGTCTGTTCTGAGTCATGGTTTCATTTCTAAGGTTTTTATTTCTTTATATATTTAAACACTACAATTCCATTTATTTTCTGTTATCCAGAAAACTTTCAGAATAGCAGTTTCATTGATGTACTTTCATTCATTCTTATCCATATTTTAAATGCACTTTCTTTATATACATTGTTTCTATCATCATAACTAAATTTGTTTATTGTGGACAAAAATAGCATGTTCTTGTCAACCTTCTTGAACTAGATGTGTATATATCCTTTTAGTAATATGGAAGCAAAAGCAGTTTGGAGCCTTCCTATATCACTTGAAAATTATGTATTTAGAATTAGGTTGAAATGTTAAGAACAGATGCACTTGAAAGATTTACTAGGTACAGATTCCAAAAGTTTCTTTACACATAATAGAAGTATGTGAAATCCAGAACCCAGTTTTACAGACTTTGACCATTTTCAAACACATTTTAATTCCGTAATTTTTCTGATATTCTCCCTTTCAGATTTATGCATTAAATTATTTCCCCTTACAGATGTATGCAATACATATGTACACACACATCACACACACACACACACATAACCAATTTAATTCTGTAATTTTTCTGATATTCTCTCCTTCAGATTTATGCACTAAATTAATGAAGTATTTCCCCTTACAGATGTATGCAATACGTATATATCACACACACACATACATACATACACATATACTCCTGCATATATATGTATGTACATATGTACGTGTGTGTGTGTGTGTGTGTGTGTGTGTGTGGTATAATTACTAGGACCCTGCTTATTTCAGGCTTGATAATAAGAAATCCACTTGCCCTGGCAGAAAATGTCACCCACACCCACACCATCTACTTTCTGAAATTTAATATATCCATTTATTCCATATACTTTTCATTCATTCAGAAAACTTTGGGAAACAGTGTATGTATGACAAAGCATAAGAAATTATATAAAATTTTAGAGTTGGTAGAAAAGAAAATGTTAGTTCTGGCTAAGAACTCAGTGATAAGAATTAACCATGTTCTTGACTTATAGCTCACTTATGCTATGTGTGCTTAGAAACACTGAATATCATAAAAACTCAATCAACTGTGTGAAAATGACCGTTTATTCACAGTTAAGTGTTTTAAAGAGAATTGGTCATTTTTATGCTAGTGTCATCTAGATTCCCTCCCCATAGATCCACTCCAACTTCCCCACTGTTGCTACACTCTCAAATCATGATCAAGTGAACATTTATCTTAAGCACCAACAAAAGAATAAACAAACAAATTTCAAACAGTTCTATCAAGCTTCAACTCTGTGGTAACATCATACCACACCTCTGGAATCATTTTAATTCTTAACAGTTATTTCTTGGTATAATATTTACATTCTGGCATTAAAGCAGAAGGTATCGTTCTATTTTCTTTGTCTTTCCAAATTTTATTTTAGGTTCAGGGACTACATGGGTAGCTTTGTTACAGGTGTAAATTGTGTGCTGTGGGAGTTTGGTGTACCTATTATTTCATCACCCAAGTAATAAGCATATTACCCAAAAGGTAGTTTGTCAATCCTCATCCTTCTTCCACCCTCCAACTTCAAGTAGGCCATGGTGTCTATTGTTCCCTTCTTTGTGTCCATATATATTTGAAAATTAGCTCCCACTTGTGAGGACATGAGGTATTTGATTTTCTGTTCCTGCAATAATTTGCTTAGGATAATGGCCTCCAGCTACATCCATGTTACTGCAAAGGCATGATCTCATTCTTTTCATGGCTGCATAGTATTCCATGGTGTATATGTAAATTTTCTTTATTCAGCCCCCTTTTGATGGGCATTTAGGTTGATTCCATGTCTTTGCTATTGTGAATAGTGTTGTGATAATCATATGCGTGCATGTGTCTTTATGGGAAAACAATTAATATTCTTCTGGGTATATACCCAGTAATGGAATTGCTGGATCAAATGGTAGTTCTGTTTGAAGTTATTTGAAGAATCTCCAAACTGCTTTCCTCAATGGATGAACTAATTTACATTCCCACCAGCACTGTATAAAGTGTTCCTTTTTCTTCACAACCTCGCCAGCAACTGTTATTTTTTGACCTAATAGCCATTCTGACTAGTGTGAGACGGTATATCATTGTGATTTTGATTCGAATTTCTCTAATGACTAGTGATGTTGAGCATTTTTTCATATGCTTGTTGGCCACATGTCTGTCTTCTTTTGAGAAGTGTCTGTTCATGTCTTTTTCCCATTTCTTAATGAGGCTTTTTGAGGTTTGCTTGATGATTTGTTGAACTTGCTTATCAGTTCTGGATATTAGACCTTTGTCAGATGCATAATTTGCAAATATTTTCTCCCATTTTGTAGGTTGTCTGTTTACTCTGTTGATAGTTTCTTTTGCTGTGCAGGTCTTTAGCTTAATTAGGTCCCATTTGTCAATTTTTGGTTTTGTTGCAATTGCTTTTGGAATCTTCATCATGAAATCTTTGCCAAGATCTAGGTCCAGAATGGCATTTCCTAAGTTTGCCTCTAGAGTTTTTATATTTTTATGTTTTATGTTTAAGTCTGTAATCCATCTTGAGTTGATTTTTGTATATGGGGTAAGGAAGGGTCTATTTTCAATCTCCTGCATATCGCTAGCCTGTTATCCCAGCATCATTTATTGAATAGGGAGTCCTTTCCCCATTGCTTGTTATCGTCAATTTGTTAAAGATCAGAAAAAAAGGTTGTAGGTGTGGGGATTTATTTATGAGCTCCCTGCTCTGTCCCATTGCTCTGTGTGTCTATTTTTCTACCACCACTATGCTGTTTTGGTTACTCTAGCCTTGTCGCATAATTTGAAGTCAGGTAGTATGATGCCTCCAGCTTTATTCTTTTTGCTTAGGATTGCTTTGGCAATTCAGGCTATTCAGACTATTTTTTGGATCCATATGAATTTCAGATTAATTTTTTTCTAATTCTGTGAAAAACGGCATTGGTAGTTTGATAAGAATAGCATTGATTCTGTACATTGCTTTTGGCATATGTCTGTATGGACAGAAAATGTGAATTTCTCTCTTCCTATTTTGAAGCCTTTTGTCTTTCTCTTGCCTGATTACTCTGGCTAGGACTTCCAGTACTATGTTGAATAGGAGTGGTGAGGGTGAGCATCTTTGTCTTTTTCCAGTTCTTAAGGGGAATGTTTCCAGTTTTTCTCGTTCAATATAATGTTGGCTATGAGTTTGTCATAGGTGACTCTTATTATTTTGAGGTATGTTCCTTTGATGGCTAGTTTGTTGAGGACTTTTAACATGAAGGGATATTAAATTTATCAAAAATTTATTCAGTATCTATTGAAATGATAATATGTTTTTTTTAGTTCTGTTTATGTCAAGAATCATATTTATTGGTTTGCATATGCTTTGAACCAACTTTGCATGCCAGGAATAAAGCCTACTTGATCATGGTGGATTACCTTTTAGATGTGCTGCTGAACTCTATTTGGTTGTATTTTGTTCAGGATTTTTGTGTATAGGTTCATCATGGATACTGGCCTGAAGTTTTCTTTTTTTGTTCTTTCTCTGCCAGGATTTGGTATCAGAATGATGCTGGGATTATAGAATGAGTTAGGGGCGAGTCCCTCCTCATAAGTTCCTTAGAATAGTTTCAGCAGAATTGGTTCCAGCTCTTCTCTATATGTCTGGTAGAATTCACCTGTGAATCTGTCTGATCCAGGCCTTTTTCCGGTTGGTGGCTTTCTTATTACCAATTCAACTTCAGAACTCATTATTGGTCCATTCGGGTATTCAGTTTCTTCCTGGTTCAATCTTGGTAGGTTGTATGTTTCCAGGAATTTATCATTTCTTCTAGGGCTTCTAGTTTGTGTGCATAGAAGTATTTATAATAGTCTCTGAGGGTTTTTGTATTTCTGTGGCATCAGTAGTAATGTCACCTTTGCCATTTCTGATTGTGTGTATTTGTATCTTCTCTTTCTTTTTTCTATTAGTCTAGCTAGCCATCTATTAGTCTTATTTATTCTTTCAAATAACCAATTTTTGGTTTCATTGATCTTTTTAATGGATTTTCATATCTCAACTTCATTGAATTTTGGCTATTTCTGGCAGAGGGCAAGATAGCCAACTAGATACAGCCAAGTGGAACAGCTCCTACTGAGGAATCAAAATGACTGCCGTGCTTCCTAACAGATCTTCAGAGTGAAGACACAGAAGCTGGCTAATGGGGGAGGAAGCCTAGAACCCTGCACAAGGCTATCATGTACTGGAACTCATTCCTGATCCCCAATGACTCCAGGGTAATGGGTGAGTTGAACTGGCATGGAGCAACCTGCTCTTGCCAAGGGACCTCAGAAATCCCGGCAGGAGGCGACCCCTTAACCACCAAGAACACTCAATTTGGCAGGGAGAGCTGCTTAGAGAAGTGGTAGGGGACATCACATCAGCTGATGCAGAGCCCAGAGGGTTTGGTGCAGAAGCATCTGTAGTGGAACATGGACAGGGTTACCCATCTCCCTAGGCTTGACTTGCTCCAATAGGAGGCTTTAGCCCTAGGGGAACTGTTGGACCTGAACTCTTCAGGGTGGCCTTGCCCATCAGATGGGGACAGTCCAACCTGAGCATCCCTTGGTCTCCTGGCCAATTCCGTAGCCCCAGCCTGGCCGTGTCTGCTTGCATGGCAGCGTCAGGTGCCCCATCCTTTTTAGCACCAGGGACCAGGTTCATGGAAGACAATTTTTCTGTGAACTGGGGATGGCGGGGAACGGTTTTATGATGGAACTGCAATGGAACCGTTCCACCTTGGATCATCAGGCATTAGATTCTCATAAGGGGCATGCGACCTAGATCCTGCATGCACAGCTCACAATAGGATTCACTCTCCTGGGATAATCTAATGCCACCAATGATCTGAAAGAAGGTGGAGCTCAGGCAGTCATGCTCTCTTGCCTGCTGCTCACCTCCTGTTGTGCGGCCCCAGACCAGCACCAGTCCAGGGCCTGGGGTTTAGTGGCTCCTTCTCTAGGGGACTGCATCACAGCTCCTGCACCATTGGACCATGCCTGACTGATGGAGAGCTCCAGTGGGGCAGCCCCCATGGCCATACACTAATTGCCCACTCCCTCCACAAACTGCCCCTAGGCACACCACGTTAGCAGCATATCTGTGTACGAGCAGGCTTTGCCTTCCTTGCCCTGTCAGCATGCTTGTGTGGGTGCACCTTGCCCTGACACTGCTACAGTGGGAGTGCACTTTGCCCCTCCTCCCTCCGCCAAACTGCCATGCAGTCAGAGCCTTGGTGGGCACAGAGCCAAGCAGCCCAACTCCCATCAGCATCCCACCCTTCTGCCAACTCTGTCATGGGAATGAAGTCAGGCACAGAGAACTGCAGACCTTCCCCTGCCCTGAGAGACAAACCCTGCCTGCAGTGCAGAGAGTGTACATAGACTTGTACCCACCAGCAACCTGCCCCCATGCTAACAACACCATCAGTGCAAACATGTGCATGGTTGCCAGTTGGGGCCCTCATACCCTGAGCAGTGCTGCCCCTGCCACTGTGGTGAACACCCACACAGAAGCAGGCACCATGGCACCCACCAGCACCCTGCTGCAGCCAATAAGTATGGACACCACCAAGCTCCTGCTGCTGCTGACACATGCAAACCAGGATGGATCCCGCTGCCAACTCACTATGAAAGATTTGGCTGATGCCACCCATGGAAGTGTAGTGACTGGCAATCTGGGAGCCCCTCAGCTCCCTCAGTGCAGTGGATTCCTAACCTTGAGGTGCCAGAGAACAAAGTCAGGGCTCAATACGAGTCCCCAAGAGTTAAAGCACGCAGTTCAGGAGTTAGGAGCTGAGTACTGGCCCCTGAAAATCTTCTAGAAACAAAGCCAGTTGGCTGAATCCACCTTATACCACAATCAAGGTCATCAAATAGGATAAAAGAAAAAAAAAAATCCAAAGGTCAGCAACTTCAAAGACTGAAGAAACATTATCCCACAAAGAAGAGGAAGAGACAGCTTATGAACTCTGACAATTCCAGAAGCCGGCCTTTGTATCCTCCAAATGACTGTCCTTCCTCTCCAGCAATGGTTCTGAAAGAGGGTGAGATGGCTGCACTGACAGAAATTGGATTCTGAATGCGGATAGGAATGAAGATGACTGAGATGCAGGAGTATGATGATACCCAATCCAAGGAAGTTAAAAATCACAATAAAATGATATAGGAACTGCCAGACAGGAGATGAGCTTCCCGGCTACATCTAGTCAACTATCTTGGCTGTAATCCTAGCATCTTTCTTTATGCATGGCATGACTTTACAGAAATGTGAAGAAGTGCAATGGTCTTATACAGAGATTATAGGACTTACAGGATTGTGTATTCTTTATCTCTTCACACTAGCTTTCATTGAGCTAGGTAAGTTATGCAGCTGAGTAGTAAGTCATTCAGTTCAAATAAACAACTCTCACAATCTTAGCCTTTCCTCATATGCCACCCTCTGCCCCAACTGTACCTGACTTATGGGGTTGTAATAGCTGCCAAGGTAAAGGAAGAACAAGCCTAGTGCCATGTTTTCTCTTTCAATGGGTTAATGTTGAATTAATCTCTGGGAACAATTCTTGCCTGTTTTCAACAATCCCTTTTCTAATTCCCCTTGTTTAGGTATAATGAGGTAGGCTATCAGGAAATCGGTTTTAACATAAGAAATGATTTAAATCAAAATTTAATAATCACATTTTTATCTCTAGTTTAGAACTTACTAGATCAGTCTTAGGACTGAACAGAGAAAATTGAGTTGAGATTAGAAAGTGATAAAAAATTTTCCTTTTTTTCAATATATATTTTCATTTTATCCAGAAGTTAAGTTATATGTCTATAAATTTAATGAACAATTTTGATTATGTAAAAACATTTAGATACCAAAATGTTTATTGTAGAGTTCTGTATAAGAGTTAGAAATGTTTAAAATATGCAGCCCATGTAAAATGTATGTACGATATTGATTAATAGAAGTGTGTCTATTTACTTTTGGCTCCAGTGTTGCAATTGGTTAGTACGTGGTACTTATAAGAAGTGTGTCTATTTACAGGAAAAAAAAATCTTTTCTACAATATTACTAATATGGAATAATAAAAATAGTTTGTATACATTATGATCCCATTTATTGTAAAACTATAAACATACATGCACAGAGATGCAACTATATTTACTTATTTATAATCTGCAAGGATAAGCTACAAATTATTTAATTGGTTTTTATTACACGGGTTGAACTACAGCATAATTATCTCTTTTTTCATCTGTAATTATACTACTAATAATGATCTTTTTAAACTTTTTGATATTTTGCATAAGGGCCCAAGATTCAAATGACAAAATCTGACATGCTTAGTGTCAGAACAGCTTTATTGAAGCTACAAAATTTTATAAATATATCTCTTTAATTTATAATATGGCATAAAAGATATTTGCTATACCTGAAACAAGGTGTCGTAGTCATTAAGTGAGTTCACACATATCCTAGGTCCATGGAAGGTTTGTACTAGACCACCTATTTAAAGTTGGGTATGGACATGCAGTTTTCTTTGGCCCAGAGAATAAAAGTTGTAAGATGTAGAAGAAAAGGAACCATTTTTAGATTCAGAGCTTTTCTTTCCCTTGACAGAGAAACTGACAACATTTCAAATAGTACAGTTTCTATCAGCCTGGGTCCCTAATGGAGCAAAGAGCCTCCTGTTGATTTTTACTGGTTATGTAGCATGAGCAAAAATTAAACCTGTATTATTAGAACCCACTAATAAATTTGAGGGTTGATTATTACAAGAGCTCATACTGACAAATACATCATGTAACTAGATTCCTGCTGGAGATTTATATGCTAAGGGTGAAACAACATGTTTAAAAGTAAGGAAGACCTTTTTTTTCTTTTCTTTTCTTTTCTTTTTTTATTTTTACTTTTTTTGAGACAGAGTTTAGTTTTGCTCTTGTTGCCCAGGCTGGAGTGCAATGATGCCATCTCAGCTCACCGCAACCTCCACCTCCCGGTTCAAGAGATTCTCCTGCCTCAGCCTCCCGAGTACCAAGTAGCTGGGATTACAAGCATGTGCCACCACACCTGGCTAATTTTGTATTTTTAGTAGAGATGGGATTTCTCCATGTTGGTCAGGATGGTCTTGAACTCCCAACCTCAGGTGATCCGCCTGCCTCAGCCTCCCAAAGTGCTGGGATTACAGGTGTGAGCCACCGCACCAGGCCAAAGAACAGAAGACTTTAAGAAACTGTAATATTCTATATTAAAATTAATAATGATAATAAATAATGTTTGTATATGTACAATATTGAGGCACAGTACTAAAAAGATTCTATATTAAAATTAATTATAATAAATAATATCTGTATACTTACAATATTGAGGCACAGTACTAAAACTTTTATATGTAGGTAAATAATTTTATTCATACACAATTATTTTATCAGCTTTGTTACTGAGAAAACTTAGACTTACAGATATTAAGAAATTTGACCAGAGGAACATCCCATAAGTGTAACTCAAGCTACCTAAAAAAATTTTCAACACCATAAAACTAATAGGAACAAATGTTACTATTTAGTTAAATACCAATTCTATGCCATCTGCTGAACATGATGTTTTGTATATTATATGATTTGCCCCTCCCAACACATATCTAAAGTAGGGGTAATCATCTTTCTAGGGAAGAAACTGAGATTTAGAGAAGTGAACTAACTCAAGTGATAAAGAGCAGGTCAAAGTTCAAACCTCAGGTTCAACTCTAAATAAAGGGCAGGTCAAAGTTCAAACCTCAGGTTCAACTCTAAAGCCCATGCAGTTTGCACAATATTATGCTAAGTTTTGTATAAACACTTACCTTTACATGATCTGCAGCTGGTGGAAAAACAGGTTTTATAGCAAATTTAATAATGCCAATAAGCAGAGAAGGAATGTATTTTTAACCATCTGTACCTAAAATAAGTTTAGCTGCATTCACTGGATTACTCAGTGAAATATTTAGGAGCTAGTATTTCTTGACTCATTAAGGGAAAAAAAAAGATACTATGACATCAGACTTATTCAAAATAGCAATGTCGTGTTACTTTTCTTCCTTTTATCATCAATTACTACAAAACTTGTACTTACTCATATTCATTCATATATAGTTCTCCCAAATTCATGACATATTTGAGGAATTGTATTAACATTCTCCTTCCTTCTAAAACTGAGAAATGTATGACTTTTGGTGTTTAATAATGTAACCTATTCCTGTGCAGAAAAGATCAGTTTTATTTTAATAATTAATATATACTTTATTTAAGTCATACATTCAGAAGTCTTATTTTTCTTTAAAAATTTTAATTCTGGTTACAAATCTTGCTGTTTATTTACTAGAAAATTCTAACACTTTAAAGAGACCATTTATTAAATTCAGTTCCATTAAAAACCTTAATTATATGCCATTAAAAATTAAATCTCATTTACCAATTAAATATTGTCACTTTCATTTTAAAGAAGTGTTCCAATGATCTGAGTGATAAAACTTCCCAAATACTTAGTAATTCTTTTAGCCTTGTAAAATTAAACATATAAGTATAGAAACCAAGTTCTATTACATGTTCAATAGTGTATTTTAACTTAATAAGATTTTTACTTAAAATCATAAAACTAGAGCAATTATTTTCTAAACAAGTTTAAATTGGAATCAAAGGCTCCCCATAATACTAGCAAGCTGAAGTCTCTTAAACATTACAAGTAAATAAAATACAAAATGAGCACTTAGTTTTATATTAAAGTATGAATTAAAGAATGTTTAATTCTCCTGAATACTTGTAGACTGAACTTTAAATCTTGGGGTTAATGGATGTTTAATTTCTATGAGGACAATTTCCTCTTGCCTAATGGGGATTACTTATTAAACAATTTTTTTTATACTGACTGTGACTAGATTCCTTTCATCCAACTTACTAGAACATGTTAAACTGCCATTAATGAAGCGGTTTCGTTGTCTGGGGAAATACCTGAGGTTTGTCATCTGGCACCAAGATTAAGGACACGGACACACATGGGTAGGTTAATGACTGCAAAGTTTAACTGGCAGAAGAGAAAGGAGAATAGCTCTCTCCTTTGTGAGAAAGAGGAGCTTCCAAAAGCAAAATATGGCCTGTGGTGGAGAGCACCAGATTTTATAGGCAGTCTTGAGGAGGCAATGTCTGAGTTACGTAGGGCCCACAGATTGGTTGGAACAGGTGTGACATTTACATAGCACAGGGAAGGCTGGCTGCCCCACCCTCATCTTATTATGCAAATGGACTTTCCACTTGGCCAGCTCCGTTCTTGTCTGCTTCTTACTGCACACATGGCTGGCAAAGAGAAGGGAACATGGGGTCGCCATTTAAACATGCCTAGTCCCAGGCAGCCTTTTCCTATTGGCACAACTGCCAACAGTGCCCCCTGCAAGCTTCCAGCTTTCTTGTCTATGTTTGCAGCTCAATTTTACAGGCTGCTCTTTATAAGAAAAGAAAATAATTTGGGGGCTGCTTTTCATTAAAAGGAAAAGCTTGCAGAGGACTCCTGTACCCTCACTATCTGCCTAAATGATTTCTTCTTAACTCCTATATCATTACTCTCTATAACAGGAACTTTACAGCTCAAAAAGATTACTCTGGGGCATTCTGAAACTCTCATAGGCCATGTTCCTGGTCTAGGCATGGAATTTGTAAACTACTTGGCCTACAATAGCCCTTGCATTTAATGAAACTATCTTTGACAGAGGAGAAAGGAAAAAACCTGATCAGGAGGGCAGTTAGGGTGGGTCCTTGGTTGAAACCTTTAGAACAAAGAACAGCCTGCAGGCACAGATAAGGGAACTTGCACAAGGGGGCTTGCCTAAGACATGCCCAAGGCTGTACTGATAAGAAAAGCTACATAGGCAACTTGCTCAGATACGCCCACATGGGGAAATTCCATTCCCTGACACGTGAATGGTAAAGGGAACAAAGCTATTATGGAGTAACTCAAGCTAAGGGCCTGCATGTGCATTAGAAGGACAAGGTGGAGCTACCAGAAACTTAGGCCTTATGCAAATGAGATGCCCAGCCCTCAGTGGTTTCCTATAAACGCTTTTGCATTCAACTGTAAAAATGGCAACCCTCTTCCAGTTCTCCTCTCCACAGCGGACAGCTTTCTTCTTTAGCTTATTAAACTTTCACTCCACCCTCACCCTTCGTGTTAACACTCCTTAACTTTCTTGGTCATAAGACAAATAACTCTGGATTACTACGTCAGGCAACGAGAAACTGCGACATGGTGGTGCATTGGCAAGACTGTAACACCTTGGCTCTCAAAATATTTACATATTTAATATTTGGAGTTAGTGAAATTCTGTATGTTTTCCATATTCTTTATGTCTGACAGAATATCACACTACAGATATTAAGTGCTATCTAAAGGATTCTGAAAAATCCCAAAACTATGTGGATCTTAACAACTTTTATGGTTGTATTTCTAGGTAAATCCTCTAACTCTGATAAGTTAATACTTAAACACAATGTCAAGAGGTATTACTATTTATTGGCTTTCACCTAAGATGTAGAAAGTTAGAAAGACTATTACTTCCAATATAACAAGAAAAAAACAAAGATAATTTAGAAAATCATACATTTTCCAGAAAATAAAGACCCCAGGTCACATGGCAGCCAACTATCCTGAAATCTCAGGAAAAGTAGGTATTAGCAAGGGGAAATGAAATTTGGACACTAAATCACCTTTTGTAGAGCAGGAGAGAAATGTGCAGCTGTCGTAGAAACTGCTAAGCAGAATTCAGGTGAAGTGGTGAATGAATTGTTAATGTCTGGCATTAAAGTATGGAACACCTGGA
Source organism: Homo sapiens (assembly GCF_000001405.40). Classification (NCBI taxonomy): domain Eukaryota; kingdom Metazoa; phylum Chordata; class Mammalia; order Primates; family Hominidae; genus Homo; species Homo sapiens. The sequence continues at coordinate 9,826,583 of NC_000010.11, forward strand.
AGCTGTAGACATAAGGGTAATTTATATCCATTTACAGGTTCTTTTTCTCCACAGAACTCACCAAGTGGTGCTGAGAAAAAGTGGTTGTATAAAATTGGACACAAAAGAAATCCTTGCCTGGTGGTGCAGGCTTCAAGAAAGGGAGAAAAGACCACAGTGGAAAAAGCTTAAGCCCACAGCCATTTCTGTATCTCCTATGAAACAAGAGTCTTCATTCACTCCAAAAATGGCAGAAAATCCTCTGACTTATGGAGCAAAGGTAAAAGTTGACTGTGGCTTCAGGAAGGGAAAAGAAAACAGACACACTATCACTGGAGGAGATGCAAACAATCTTCATTTGCTTAGACCAGTAGAAGTCTCCAATGGTTGGGAGAATTACAGTATCACTGAAAAAGTCGCAAAAAAATAAACAGCACAGAGAACGGAAGAATGGCAGAAACTATCAAATGGTCTGAAACACAGGTAATTGAGATCCAGTAAGAAGAAAGAGAATGAAGCAAAAAAATATGTGAAGAGATTACAATGAATAATTTTCAGAAACTAATAATGACATAAAATCCTAGGCCCAAAAGTTCAAAAAAACCACAGCAGGATAAATACACACACACACACACACACACACACCTGGACACATGATATTCAAACTGCTGAAAACCAAAATTAAAGAGGAAATCTTGAAGGCGGTTAAAAAAAAAGAAACGTACAAATAAACAAATAACAAAAAATAATTATAGCAAACTTATCAGAAACTATGAGAGCCAAAGGTTAAATGCTGAAAGAAAAACATCTGTTAATCTAGAATGTTATATTTAGTAAAAATATCTTTCAAACACTGGAGAAATAGAGACATTTCTAGGCAAACGAAAAGTGATAGAATTCATTAACAGTAGAACCACAGTACAAGTAATGTTAAAAGAAGTTCTTATGGAAGAAAGAGTACATGAAATAGACATTTGCATCTACACTAAGAAATAACTAAATCTGAAAATTGTTAAAATGAAGGTAAATATGACACATTTTTACTTATTGTAATTCTTTTCAAAAATAATTGACCTGGCCAGGTGCAGTGGCTCAGGCCTGTAATCCCAGCACTTTGGGAGGCTGAGATGGGTGGACCACCTGAGGTCAGGAGTTCAAGACCAGCTTGGCCAATATGGTGAAACCGGTCTCTACTACAAAACATAAAAATTAGCTGGGTGTGGTGGTGTGCACCTGTAATCCCAGCTACTCGGGAGGCTGAGGCAGAAGAATTGCTTGAACCTGGGAGGCAGAGGTTGCAGTGAGCTGAGATCACACCACTGCACTACAACCTGGGCAACAGAATGAGACTCCGTTTCAACAAAATAAATAATTGACCTGTCTAAAGCAAAAATAGTAGCAATATACCAATGTGTTGTTGATTAGTAGCATGTGAGAATGACAACAATGTCACAAAAGATATAAAGGAAAAACTGAGGTTAAATGGTTCTAAGGGTTTTAAACTGCATCTGAGGCAGTATAATAGTATTTAAAGGCAAACTGTGATTAATTAAAGGTGTCTATTAAAATCCTACCAAGGGCCATAAATGGATTTTCGGGAGTGATGCAACTCTTTTCTATTTTTATGATGGTCATGCTCACATTATTTTGTTTTTGTAAAATTTATATAACTGTACACGTTAAAAATAATATATTTTGCTGTACCTCAATAATAATAAAATAATACCTCAATAAACATAAATAACAATAAATAATACCTCAATAAACATAAATAACAATAAATAGTACCTCAATAAACGTATAAAAATTAAAATCAAGAGGGACTTTTTTTATTCTAACTCTCACAAAGATATGGTGGGGTTGAACATCATTGGAGGGCAAAAAACCACTTTGATAAGATTTACGTTCTTGTATGTTAGAGATTTTAGGTAACAAAACATCCTAACTGGAACTGTGTAGTCCAATATCCCAACTCTTTGTCAGATAAGTTTAAAATTCAAAGGCAGTTGATGGAGGGTGACAGAAAACACAGGAAATCTTCGATGTCATAGGACAGATATTTTTAAGGCTCAGGAACAAAGGTTTATATAATAAACTTTTCTTAAAATATATAATTTTAATACATCTATGGGCTTGAAAAAGCGTAATAGTAAAATAAACGTGCAGTTGGACTTGATTCTTAAAAGTATGATTCTTTTACTTTCTCCGTAATTTCTTTTTCCTAATTCCGTTTTAGATATTGCCAGAAGCCTGCTCTCAAAGAAGCATACAGGAGTGTGGAGAATCTGAAAGGAGTGGGGTGGGGTAGAAAAAAGAAGGTAATGGAAAGGCATGGTTCTTAATCGTACTCTGACTCCTCTTAGAAGCAAAACGCTTTATTGGAGAGCTGCTATGGGAACTCTGTGTTTAATTTCCTGACATTTCTGAGAATCAAATCTAACAGGCGCAGTTCGATTAACATAGTTTAGTGAGGATGTTGTTTTTCTGGTCTCTTCTGACATGTACGAGAGGCCAGGCTAATACTAAAATCTGAGCAGGTCTTTTGTTAAAACAAATATTCTAAGCCAATCTTCCTGTCAAGGGAACAAATCCCCGTACAGATCACTGCTTAGACTTCCTTCCACTTTCTTCAGCAGCTGGACATCGTACCTCACCTTGGCTGGTGCCTAAATACAGTCTCGGGGGAGAAAAGATGTTTTTTTGTGGTGGTGGTTTTGTTTTTCAGGATTGTACCCCCAGTACCTAGCATAGTGTCTGGCACAAAGCACACGTTAAATATAAGTCTGTAAAGGAGGAAAGAAATACACAGATGAATTGAGTAATGACTACTTTCAGTTGTAGTATGTGAGACTAATATTTAGAGGTGGTTACCAAGGATGTAGTCACCCTTCCCAACATCCCTCATGGTTGGCTCTAAGTCTTTGGGGGTCTCTGTGAAACACTTCAAGGAGACAGAGGCACTGATCCTAAATAATATAGTAAGTGCTATAATCAGTCTGAATGTCTCGGGTTTCAAACAATCATATGTTAATTGTCGTAAACTGTTTTGAATAAAATATTTATTTCTAAATGGAAACATATAAACACATCTTCGCTGTCTCTCAAAGGGGAAACGAGAGATGATCTTGGTTTTTGAATCAGGTAGACCTAAATTCTAGTCCTAATACTACTACCTGTTAGCAAGACTGTGAGCAAGTTATTTATCCTCTCTGTTCCTTAGTTTTACTTATCTACAAAATGGAGCTGATAAAACCTTCTTTACAAGATTATTAAAAAGATTAGAGATAAATGATTTACAGTACTTGGAACAAAAAACTTACCAACTTTAAATTGGAACGCATTGCATAGATCTTACTCTTTCCAGCAATAGAGGGTTTGTGCTCTAAATACACTCCTTGTGTGTAAAGAGTAGATCTACCTGTCTGCCTTAACATTTTGTTCCCTGAAGTCAATGGTGGTCATGACCTGATGTTTCTGTTCAGATACAGAAATATATGTAATGACTCTTGTCAGAAAGAATGAGAACAAAGAAAGCGAGAACATGCATTCCCCCTGTGAAGGTATCAGCCTGCCACAGTACAGCTGGGATTTTATTACCCTTTTTTATAGCCTCAGCATGAAGAGCTACAAAAAAATAATTGGCCATATAATTACCAAGTTTTATTTTTAAAAATCTTTTCAAAACCTCAATGACATCAGGAGTCATTGAGGTGTTGGAAAAAAAAAAGTGTTTTTTTTTTTTTGGCCAGTTTTCCCTTTCTGGTTTTCATAATGCTTATACTTATCTGGGAGCATGAGGTGAAATGCATTCTTTTACTTTTATTTTTTTTCTTTTTGAGGTGGAGTTTCGCTCTTGTTGCCCAGGCTGGAGTGCAATGGCGTGATCTCAGCTCACCGCAACCTCCGCCTCCCAGTTCAAGCGATTCTCCCGCCTCAGCCTCCCAAGTAGCTGGGATTACATGTGCCCACCACCACACCCGGCTTTTTTTTTTATATATATATTTTTAGTAGAGATGGGGTTTCTCCATGTTGGTCAGGCTGTTCTTGAACTCCCGATCTCAGGTGATCCACCAGCCTTGGCCTCCCAAAGTGCTGGGATTACAGGCGTGAGCCAACACGCCTGACCTGCCAAATGTATTCTTAAGATGCCTTTCATAATGTGTCAATGATATTTATTCTATCCATACAATATATATATGGGCCATGTTTTTACATTTTCTTTAAAAAGAGTGATATATTTCTTTAAAAACAGCGATATATAAAGTATTTAACCTGATTTTCCTTTTACTTTACTAAGAACTTTGCTAATAAGTAGATAGAAATTTTAGTTTTGAAAGTGTTCTGTACTTTTTATATATCGTTTTTGATAACATATGGTGAAGATAGAAAGGAGTATGAAAGAAGATGGGATGTGGCGATCTGTCATTCTTTTAATATCTTCCTGTTGATCTGGGACCATGGAATATACACCAGTATGTCCAAGGATGATCGTCCTATCTGGCTTAAAGTCAATTAATTTTAATCCAGATTAGTTTAACAATATTGATAAGGATCCAGACAAATTCTATCCAATAGGATGAATGTTTTGTAATAGCAGAAAGATTTTATATCTTTACATTCTCCAATGAAGTCATCACAAACAACAGATGACTATTGATAATTTTTCAATATGGCTAGTGTGAATGAATTTTTAAATTTCAATTAATTTAGATTTAGTTACATGTGGTTTCCTATAACACAGCAAAGATCTAGATTAAACCCTATTTCAATGTTATCTCATATGAAACCAATGAGTATCCCAAGAGATGTTTTCCACTGAGCTTTATTAGGTACTCAACTATAGAAAATAGGAGGACATAGGCATGGGCAAGGACTTCATGTCTAAAACACCAAAAGCAATGGCAACAAAAGCCAAAATTGACAAATGGGATCTAATTAAACTAAAGAGCTTCTGCACAGCAAAAGAAACTACCATCAGAGTGAACAGGCAACCTACAGAATGGGAGAAAATTTTCGCAACCTACTCATCTGACACAGGGCTAATATCCAGAATCTACAATGAACTCAAACAAATTTACAAGAAAAAAACAAACAACCCCATCAAAAAGTGGGCAAAGGATATGAACAGACACTTCTCAAAAGAAGACATTTATGCAGCCAAAAAACACATGAAAAAATGCTCATCATCACTGGTCATCAGAGAAATGCAAATCAAAACCACAATGAGATACCATCTCACACCAGTTAGAATGGCGATCATTAAAAAGTCAGGAAACAACAGGTGCTGGAGAGGATGTGGAGAAATAGGAACACTTTTCCACTGTTGGTGGGACTGTAAACTAGTTCAACCATTGTGGAAGTCAGTGTGGTGATTCCTCAGGGATCTAGAACTAGAAATACCATTTGACCCAGCCATCCCATTACTGGGTATATACCCAAAGGACTATAAATCATGCTGCTATAAAGACACATGCACACGTATGTTTATTGTGGCACTATTCACAATAGCAAAGACTTGGAACCAACCCAAATGTCCAACAATGATAGACTGGATTAAGAAAATGTGGCACATATACACCATGGAATACTATGCAGCCATAAAAAATGATGAGTTCATGTCCTTTGTAGGGACATGGATGAAATTGGAAATCATCATTCTCAGTAAACTATCACAAGAACAAAAAACCAAACACCGCATCTTCTCACTCATAGGTGGGAATTGAACAAGGAGAACACGTGGACACAGGAAGGGGAACATCACACTCTGGGGACTGTTGTGGGGTGGGGGGAGGGGGGAGGGATAGCATTAGGAGATATACCTAATGCTAAATGACAAGTTAATGGGTGCAGCACACCAGCATGGCGCACGTATACATATGTAACTAACCTGCACATTGTGCACATGTACCCTAAAACTTAAAGTATAATAATAATAAAATAAAAAATAAAAAAAAAAGAAAATAGGAAAAGAGGTAGCAATGTAGTTTCTTTCTATACCATTGAGAAAATAAAGCCATTGTTAATAAAATCACATACTGAACGGACATTTATTCCTTACCTACTTGATGTCAGATATTGTGCAAGAATCTCTGGAACCACACATAAATATCAGACATAAATCCTGCCCTAAGAAGCATATGGGCTAGTGAAGAAGTGGACACAAACAAGGGAGAGTAATAAATATTGTAGCAAAACCACACACTCACTGCTACTGGAATGTAGAGATGAAAATTTTAATTTTGCGTAAAATTGATATGAAGTGGTATTATATTAGGTGAGGAAAGCTTATGACTAGAATATTCAGGAAAACATAAGGTACCTACGTTTTACTCCTTAGCTGGCTATATCACGTTCTAAGACATGTTATTACCACATTTTACAATGAGTCTCAGCCATTCAAAAACTACATACATATATGGACTTCAAAGATGAAGAACAAAGTTAGCATTAATTTTGGTAAAAATTTTAATTCAGTGGTTTATGCATTAGGGGTACTTTTTCCTACCAGCAAGGCAATATCTTATTCTTATTAAACACACAATAAATGTTTTAAAAGAAATTAATGTGTGGCTGGGTGCGGTGGCTCAAGCCTGTAATCCTGGCACTTTGGGAAGCCAAGGCAGGAGGATCACTTGAGGTCAGGAGTTCGAGACCAGTCTGGCCAACATGGCGAAACCTCATCACTACTGAAAATACAAAAATTAGCCAGGTGTGGTCGTACACGCCTGTGGTCCCAGCTACTTGGGAGGCTGAGGCAAGAGAATAGCTTGAACCTGGGAGGCAGAGGTTGCAGTGAGCTGAGATGGTGCCATTGCACTCCAGTCTGGACGACAGAGCAAGTACTCCATCTCAAAAACAAAAAAAAAAAAAAAAGAGAGAGATAAATTAATGTAGAAAGATAGGCATTTAAATACCTATACAATTTGGCAAACTAAAAAAATCTGTAACTATGGCAATACCTATGTTTTTTCCACTTTATTGAGTTATATTTATATACCATAAAACCCACTCATTGTCAGGGTATAGTGCAATGCTTTGTAGTAAATTTATAGACTTGTGAAACCATCTTCAAAATCCAGTTTTAAAACGTGTCCATCCCCCCAAGTACTTTCTTCCAGCCTACTGGCAGTTCACTCAACCTCCCCCAGATTAAACAACCGCGGATTCTGGCCTCTACACATTTGTCCTCTCGGAGCTGTCCATCTAAACGGAACTTTCGGACTGCTTGGGAATTCTATCTTCTTGTCTTACTAACTCTCCCTTAGTTAATTCAGAAAATTTGAAATCACTAACAACCCTTACAAGAACATGCAAGAAAGGCACTAACTGCAGGAAAGAGCCTTGAATTAGGAGCAGGATGACTTTATCTGCTCTTCATGCTGAGTGGGGGCAGTGAACTTGATTTCATAGTGTGTCCTTTTTACCTGTGTGTATAGTGACTAATTGCTGCAGACAGCTAGCTGCTGTTCAGGGCACACTGCCGGGATGTTGCATGCGCAAACAAATGCCTGTGTATTTGAAATGCTGTCCTCCTCTCTTCTGTCAGTAGCCTTAGAAACCTCTTCATGCTGAGTCAATAAGTGGGGACCAGGAGAAAAGGGTGGGAAACAATAGTTTCCTGGAGTTTGTGCATTGTCCTCTGCATGTACTTCATGCCAGGAAGTGCTTTCTCTGATAGAGTCTTTTTAAAAAGCATTGATTACTCACACTCCCATACATGCACAAGTACACATAAAAAGTCAAGTGCCACTTAGGTAAGAATAGGGACTTAAAGTTCGCTTGGGATTAATTTTTCTTCTCTTCTTTCCTTCCCTGCCCTGCTAAATAAAAGCATGTGAGATATGTCAAAACAGTGTGTCCTACTGTGAGTTTCTTTGTATTATTGTTTTAAATCTTTCTTGGGAATGAGAAAGTCATGATTTGTGATTTGTGATTTAGTTCCGTTCTGATTAATGAGGATTTAAGCTGCAGTTTCTGCTATTATGAATTAAATGTCACAGTTCATTAGAGTAGAGCCAGTTCAGGCCATTCCAAGTTTATATCTGTGTTTCCAACATTAAATATTTTCCTCAGGATTTATTAACTTGGCATCAAGATGTCCCAAGTGTGTCTTTTTTCAATTAAAGAAGAAAATAACAGAGTATAACTTTTCCAGTTCCATTAATGTTCAAGAAGACAGGTGTAAGCTAGAGAAGCAAAACAATTTCTAATGATTGTAGAAATAACTTGAGATAATAGATGTTAGGAATTAACAGACATAAACCAGCTTTTACTTATGCTTATAAGTATAGGATATGTAGATTAATTCTTTCCACCCCTTAAGCCAGATGCTATTTTTTTGGAGACAGACACATGCTGTTTTTAAATGTGTTTGTGAGACTTTGTACTTGGGCTTTACTCAATGTGTCAGTTTTATATTTATGCTGGAAATGTTCATTGTTTATCTTCTTTGTATTAAGTGTCAACTCTTTATGAAATGAGGTTGCCATATATCTCTGAAGAAAAATGTAAATATATATACTATAAAATAATTTTTAAATGTTTGATTATATAGTTAGGTGATAATTTATAACTGCATATTTTTATGTACTCTTAAAATTTTATATATGGGAAGAAAACTCTCAACATTTTTAACCTGGCTGCCTCATGCAAGGTGATTAATATATGAACTAAATAATTAAGAATATGGGCTGGGTTCAGTAGCTTAGGATAATAATCCAAGTTCTTTGGAGGCTGAGGCGGGAAGATTGCTTGAGGCTGGGAGTTTACCAGCCTGGGCAAAATAGCAAGAACCTGCCTCTACAAAAGACTTTAAAAATTAGCCAGGCATGGTGGTGCACACCTGTACTCCTAGGAACTTGGGAGGCGGAGGCAGGAGAATTGTTTGAGCCCAGGAGATTAAAGCTGCAGTGAGCTCTAATTGTGCCACTGCACTTCAGCCTAGGTGACAGAGCAAAACTCTGTATCAAAAAAAAAAAAAAAAAGAGAATAGAATATGTTGAGCATAAAATTTCAGAGCTTTGACTTGTAGCTATTTCTTAAAATTATATAAATATTTTCATATATTATACTGCATTATATTATCACGATAATACATTACTCACTTAATATTTGGCTTTCTGATAAAATAGGAATTTGATATAAGTACAGAGAAATATAAAATATTTAATGACCTAGAAGCAAAAATAAAAATGCAATAATCTGATTTTTAGAACATAATTAGTATAATCATGAGTCACTTAACCACAGGGATACATTCTCAGAAATGCATCATTAGGCAATTTTTTTGTTATATGAACATCACAGAGTATACTCGAATAAACCTAGATAGTAGAGGCTAATGCCCACCTAGGTTATATGGTAGAGCCTATTGCTCGTAGTCTACAAACCTGTATGGAATTTAACTCTATTATACTCTAGGCAATTATAACAAAATGATAAGCATTTGTGTATCTAAACATATATAGACATAAAAAGGTACAACAAAAATATGGCATTATAATCTTATGGGACCACCATTGTATATGTCGTCTGTCATCGACCAAAACATCATTACGTGGCACATGATGGTATATCCACAAAGACATTATCTAGGAGAACTTGATAATCTACCAATTCCTGTAACTCTGTGCTCTTGTTTAGACTATCTCTTCCAAAGTTTTTTACATTTATTTTCTTGGACACCTCATGTCATTTTTCTCTTCTAAACTCTTCTATAAGACTTTCATCTCAAAGCTTTTATCTACCTCATCTAAGTCCTCTATTCTGGTAAATGCAATAGGCAACTCTCAAGCCTTCTTTTATTCTTATTGTGTTTCTCACGACTGACTACTCCCTGGTATCTGAAACACTTTGTTCGCTGTTTCCAGACCAACACCATCTCCTTTTATTTTTCAATACTGTGGCCATTTCTCCTGAAGAATTCTGTATGATTTGCCTATTTCTGGTCACTACCTTCCTGATCTACACATATTAGTGGGCCTCAGGGCTCAATTCTCAAACTGTCTCTGCTTTATCTTTTTTTGTTTTTTTTTTCCTTCCCAGTTGCTAATTGTATGAAGACATACATCGTTTGTACAAGCGTTTGTTAAAAATGTGTGCGTCACTGCAGATTTAACTAGTTATGTTGTGATGAGCTCATATTGGGGTAGGATGGGCCTCTAATACAATATGACTAATGCCCTTAAAAAATTGAAATTAAGACACAAACACAGGAGAACACTTTGTGAAGACACATGCAGATGGAGGCAATGCTTCTGTGAGCTAGGGAACCCCAAAGATGGCCAGAAAACCATCAGAAGTCAGGGGAGAGATATAAAGCATTTCTTCCTCTTAACCCTCAGAAACAAACAACCTTGCCACACCTTGATTGCAGACTTCTAGCCTCCAGAATTATGAGAGACAATACATTTCTGTTGGTTAAGCCAGTTAGTTTGTGGTACTGACATACCTCGTGTTATTATGCTTCACTTTATTGCACTTTGCAGACAATTTTGTATAAATGAAAGGTTCGTGGAAATCCTGCATCAAGCAAGTCTACTGGCATCATTTTTCCAACAGCGTGTGCTTACACCATGTCTGAATGTCATATTTTGATAATTCTCACAATATTTCAAACTTTTTCATTATTATTGTATCTGTAATGGTGTTCTGTGATTAGCGATCTTTGTCGTTACTATTGTAATCGGGGCCACCACACTCATCTCATATTAGACAACAAATTAATCAATAAATGTATGTTTTCCATATGCTCCAGGGACCTGCCATTCTGCCACCTCTCCTCCTCTCCTCAGGCCTGTATATTCTTCAAGATACAGCAATACTGAAGTTAGGCCAACTAATAACCCTATAATGTCCTCTAAACGTTCAACTTAAAGGAATAGACTCATGTATCTCATTTTAAATCAAAAGCTAGAAATAATTAATCTTAGTGAGGAAGGAATGTCAAAAGCTGAGGCTGAAAAGTACACCTCTTTCATCAAAAAGTTAGCCAAGCTGTGAATGTGAAGAATAGGTTCTTGAAGAAAATTAAAAGTGCTACTCCAGTGAATACACAAATGACAAAAAAAAATTGAAATAGGCTTATTGCTGATATAGAGAAAATGTGAGTGGTCTGGAAAGAAGATTGAACCAGTAACAACACTCTCTTAAGTCAAAACCTGATCTAGAACAGGCCCTACCTCTCCTCAATTCTATGAAGTCTGAGAGAGGTGAGGAAACTGCAGAAGAAAAGTCAAAAGCTAGCTGAGATTGGTTCATGACCTTGAAGGAAAGAAACAATCTCCATAACATAAAAGTGCAAGGTGAAGGAGGATGTGATGATGGAGAAACTGGAGCAAGTTATCCAGAAGATCTAGGTAGGATCACTGATGCAAATGGCTACATTAAACAACAGATTTTTATTAAACGTAGTTGAAACAGCCGTATATTAGAAGATGCCGTTTGTTTGGGACTTTCAGAGCTAGAGAGGAAGTCAATGCCTGGCTTCAGAGCTTCAAAGGACAGGCTGACACTCTTGTTAGGAGAGAATACAGTGGCTAAGTTTAAATTAAAACCAACGATCATTTATTATTCAGAAAATTCTAGAGCTTTTAAGAACTTGCTAAATCTATTCTGCCTGTGGTCTGTAAATGGAACAACAAGGCCTGAGTGACAGCACATCTGTTTATGGCATGGCTTAGTGAATATTTTAAGCCCACAGTTGAGAGCAACTGCTCAGAAAAATATATTCCTTTCAAAATACTATTGCTCATTGATAATGCACCTGGTCACCCAAGAGCTCTGATGAAGATGCACAAAAAGATTAATGATGTTTTCATGCCTGCTAACACAACATCCATCCTACAGCCCATGGATTAAGGAGTAATTTTGACGTTCAAGTTATTTAACAAATGCACTTTGTAAGGTTATAACTGCCATAGATAGTGATCCCACTCATGGTTCTGTGCAAAGTAAGCTGAAAACCTGTGGAAAGGATTCACTATTCTAGATGCCATTAAGAACATTTGTGATTCATGGTAGGTCAAAATATCAACATATACAAATGGCCAACAAACATATGAAAAAATGCTCAACATCACTAATGATCAGGGAAATGCAAATCAAAACCACAATGCAATACCACCTTACTCCTGCAAAAATGGCCACAATAAAAAAAAATAGATGTTGACATGGGTGTGGCAAAAAGGGAACACTTTTACACTGCTGGTGGGAATGTAAACTAGTACAACCACTATGGAAAACAGTGTGCAGATTCCTTAAAGAACTAAAAGTAGAACTATCATTTGATCCAGCAATCCCACTACTGGGTATCTACCCAGAGGAAAAGAAGTCATTATGTGAAAAAGACACTTATATAAAAAGATATAAAGTTGTTTACAGCAGCGCAATTCGCAATTGCAAAAATATGGAACCAGCCCAAGTGCCCATCAGTCAATGAGGGGATAAAGAAATTGTGATAAGGAAATTGTGATACATATACACACATACATACATGTATACATACACAGGCACCATGGAATACTACTTGGCCATGAAAAGGAATGAAATAATGGCATTCGCAGCAACCTAGATGGAATTGGAGACCATCATACTAAGTGAAGTAACTCAAGAATGGGAAACCAAACATCCTATGTTCTCACTCATGAGTGGGAGCTAAGCTATGAGGACACAAAGGCATAAGAATGATACAATGGACTTTGGAGACTCAGGGGAAAGGGCAAGAGTGGGGTGAGGGATCAAAGACTACACATTGGGTACAGTGTATACTTCTTGGGTGATGGGTGTGCCAAAATCACAGAAATCACCAATAAATAACTTATTCATGTAACCAAACACCATCTGTTCCCCCAAAACCTATTGAAGTTTAAAAAAAAAAGAAGAAGAAAATATAAAAATAAATAGATTTTTAACAATTTTTAAAAAGGAGTATAAAAGAAGTGGGTTCCAACCCTCATGAATACTTTGAGGGGTACAAGATTTCTGTGGAGGAAGCAACTATAGATATAATAGAAAGGGCAAGAGAACTAGAATTAGAAAAGGAGCCTGAAGAGGACACTGAATGGCTGCAATCTTAAGATCAAACTTGTGATGTTCACCTTCCTGTGTCCATGTGATCTCATTGTTCAATTCCCACCTATGAGTGAGAAGATGCTGTGTTTGGTTTTTTGTCCTTGCGATAGTTTGCTGAGAATGATGGTTTCCAGTTTCATCCACATCCCTACAAAGGACATGAACTCATCATTTTTTATGGCTGCATAGTATTCCATGGTGTATATGTGTCACATTTTCTTAATCCAGTCTATCATTGTTGGACATTTAGGTTGGTTCCAAGTCTTTGTTATTATGAATAGTGCTGCTATAAACATATGTGTGCATGTGTCTTTATAGCAGCATGATTTATAATCCTTTGGGTATATACCCAGTAATGGGATGGCTGGGTCAAATGGTATTTCTAGTTCTAAATCCCTGAGGAATCGCCACACTGACTTCCACAATGGTTGAACTAGTTGACAGTCCCACCAACAGTGGAAAAGTGTTCCTATTTCTCCACATCCTCTCCAGCACCTGTTGTTTCCTGACTTTTTAATGATCGCCATTCTAACTGGTGTGAGATGGTATCTCATTGTGGTTTTGATTTGCATTTCTCTGATGACCAGTGATGATGAGCATTTTTTCATGTGTTTTTTGGCTGCATAAATGTCTTCTTTTGAGAAGTGTCTGTTCATATCCTTTGCCCACTTTTTGATGGGGTTGTTTGTTTTTTTTCTTGTAAATTTGTTTGAGTTCATTGTAGATTCTGGATATTAGCCCTGTGTCAGATGAGTAGGTTGCGAAAATTTTCTCCCATTCTGTAGGTTGCCTGTTCACTCTGATGGTAGTTTCTTTTGCTGTGCAGAAGCTCTTTAGTTTAATTAGATCCCATTTGTCAATTTTGGCTTTTGTTGCCATTGCTTTTGGTGTTTTAGACATGAAGTCCTTGCCCATGCCTATGTCCTGAATGGGACTGTTGTGGGTTGGGGGGAGGGAGGGATAGCATTAGGAGATATACCTAATGCTAAATGACGAGTTAATGGGTGCAGCACACCAACATGGCACATGTATACATATGTAACAAACCTGCACGTTGTGCACATGTACCCTAAAACTTAAAGTATGATAATAATAAAATGTAAAAAAAAGAAGACATTTATGCAGCCAAAAAAAAAAGAAAAGAAAGGAAAAGAAAATATATATACCATGGAATACTATTCAGCCATAAAAAGGAAAAAAATAATGGCATTCACAGCAACCTGGATGGAACTGGAGACCAAAATTCTAAGTGAAGTAACTCAGGAACGGAAAACTAAGCATCGTATGTTCTCACTCATATGTGGGAGCTAAGCTATAAGACACAAAGCCATAAGAATACTACATTGGACTTTGGGGACTCGGGAGGAAGGATGGAAGGGGGACGAGGGATAAAAGACTACACATTGGGTACAGTGTACACTGCTCAGGTGATGGATGCACGAAAATCTCAGAAATCACCACTAAAGAACTTATTAATGTAACCAAATACCACCTGTTCCCCAAAAACCTATTGAAATAAAAAAATTAAAAATAACGAAAAAAGAAAGAAAAAAAGATCAAACTTGTATGAATGAGGAGTTGCTTTTTTATGGATAAGCAAAGAAAGTCATTTTTCAAGATGGAAACTACTCCTGGTGACGATGTTGCGTACACTTTTGAAATGTTAACAAATGATTCTGAATATTTCATAAAATAGCTGATAAAGCAGTAGTAAGGTTTGAGAGGATTGACTCCAATTGAAAGAAGTTCTAATGTGGGTAAAATGCTATCAAGCAGCATATCATGCTACAGAGAAATCTTTCGTGCAAGGAAGAGTTGATCAATGTGGCAAATTTCATTGTTGACTTATTTTAAGAAACTGCCACTGCCATTCTAACCTTTAGCAACCACAAACCTGATCAACAGCCATCAACCTCTAGGCCATACACTCTCCCCTGGCTAAAAGATTAGGACTTGCTGAGGGTGCAGATAAACATTAGCATTTTGTAATCAACAAAGTATATTTAATTAAGGTATATACATATTGATTTTAGAAATAATGCCATTGTACACTTAATAGACTACAGTATGGTACAAACATAATTTTTATATGCACTGGGAAACCAAAAAATTCGTGTGACTCTCTTTATCATGATGGTCTAGAGCCAAATTTGCAGTATCTTTGAGGTATTTCTGTACTTTAGTTGGGCAGCTTCAGGAAAGAAATATAGATTTGACCTGACATGACAGCCCCAAGATGATACATTTAGCACCACCCGCCCGCTGAAATGCAGCCTAGTATATGTAACCGTCCACTCAAATTCCTAATTAGCATTAAAACTTGATCTGATTCCTCCCTCCCCACCGCAATTCTGCTTCTCCCAGGTTATTAGCACCTTAGTAAAGGATACCTAGGTTAGGCTAAGGTAAGAACCCTCAGGTTCATGCTTGCCCTGAGTGCTCATATCCAAAACCACAGGCTTTTCTGGCTGTAACTCCCAAAAATATTCTCACCTCAATCCCTTCTCACAGTTCCACCGCTGTCATCGCCTCTGCCACTACAACTCAACACCATTCTAGTCCACATGCCATTTCCTTCACTTGGACAACTGGAAACACAGACAGAATACTGTCTTCCACTGTTTGCCCCTATGATTGATTTTCCACAGAGCAACTGTAGTTATCTTTTAAAAATTTAAGACTTTTTTTCTTTCTCAGCACAAAACCCATCAATGTTTTTTCATTAAACTGTATAGCAAAGCTTGTAATATACTAAAGCAGTGATTTTCACCTGGGGGTATTTTTGATCCCACTTCTTCCCTAGCCACCTAGAAACATTTTACAACGTCTGGAGACACTTTTTGATGTCACGATATGAGATGGGGGAGCAGCGGGCATCTAGTGAGTAGAGGCCAAGAATATAGATAAACATCTTACATGGCACAAAAACACCCAAAATGTCAACAGTTCTGAGGCTGGGAAACCCTGTGCTACATGGTCTTGCTCCTCTCTGACTCACAGCCCTTCACCTTCTCCTGGACTCAGTCCTCCCTAGCTGTGTTTTCATTCACTCTTGCTCAAACATGTCATACACAGACCTGCTGCAGGTCTTTTGCTCTTAGTGCCCCGCTGCTGCAACTCTTAGATTTCACAGACGTCATCCTTCATTTCATTCAATTTCTGTTAAAAGTCATCACTTCTAAAAGGCCTCCTTGACTTCTCCATCTAAAATAGCACCTCCATGATAGCCTATAACTTATTCTGCTTTAGTTTCATCCATTGTTATCCAATATTTTCCTTTAAGGGCAGTTGATCCTTGAACAAACACGAGTTTGAACTGCATGGGTCCACTTCTACATGGATTTTCTTTTATCTCTGCCATTCCTGAGACAGTAAGACAAACCCCTTCTCTTCCTCCTCCTCCTAACCTACTCAACATGAGGATGACTAGGATGAAGACCTTTACGATGGTTTACTCCCAGTTAATAAGTAGAAATATATTTTCTCTCATTATTTTCTTTCTTTTGGTTTTGTTTGGCTCTTTTTTGTTTTGTTTTGTTTTGTTTTGTTTGAGATGGAGTCTCACTCTGTTGCCCAGTCTGGAGTGCAGTGGCGTGATCTCTGCTGACTGTAACCTCTGCCTCCTGGTTTCAAGCAGTTCTCCTGCCTCAGCCTCCCAAGTAGCTGGGACTACAGGTACACACCACCATGCCTGGCTAATCTTTGTATTTTTAGTAGAGACGGGGTTTCATCATGTTGACCAGGCTGGTCTTGAACTCCTGACCTTAGGTGATCCGCCTGCCTTGGCCTCCCAAAGTGCTGGGATTATAGGCATGAGCCCCCGTGACTGGCCCCTTACGATTTTCTTAATAACATTTTCTTTAGCTTACTTTATTGTAAGAATATAGTATATAATGCATATAACATATAAAATATGTGTTAACTGTTTATTGGTAAGGCTTTCAATCAATAGTAGGCTATTAGTAGTTGTGTTTTGAGGAATCAAAAGTTATATGCAGATATTCAACCACACAGGGGTGAGCTCCCCTAATCCCTGCATTGTTCAAGGGTCAGTTGTATTTACGTCAACCAACACTATCACTACTACCACTCCAACTGGAGTATAACATCTTTAATTAACAGCAGGGATTTTTTTTGTTTTTGCTTGCCACTCTACTCTCAGCCCCTGGAACACACACACACACACACACACACACACACACACACACACACACATATTCAAAGTCTTCATGAAATGAATGAATGAATGAATTAATTAATTAATATGTTAACTAGTTAATCTTCCATGGCCAGAAACCAACAGAAAACTCAGTTTGGTGAATGAGAGTCTTTGTCAATTTATAAATTGCAGCAGAAGTCAAATAAGACAACCACAATTTTGTAATTGGTAAGATGCCACTTAATTCCCCTGCATCAAAATGCATAGCCTCAGACAATTATATGTTTAGAGAACTTTCCAACTAATCTCACTCATAAAAGTCACTCGATGAGGCCAGGGTATTGTTAAATATAGTGAACTCCAAGTTTCTCTTCAAAGAATCAGTATGTCAGTATGTTCAGCTCTCTTATTCTTTGATTCTCCATTTTAAAGTTTACCTTCCTGGTTCTTTCTCCCACTTGCTTCTAGTTTCAGTAAACAACTTTTCCACTGGTCCTGATCAGTAGTTCACATCTGTTCCCCTTGATCACCTGCTCCATCCTGACACATCCTGGTCACCTGCTTTGACCTGAGTCACCTTTGGTCACCTGCTCTGACCTAAGTCACCTTTAGTTACCTGTTCCTAACCGTCCTTCCCGCCAAACTACTCACCCTGCCACTCTAGCTCAAAACCTTCCCTCATTAAAATAGCCAATCAGAATTAGCTTAGACTGTGTGGTCCAACCCTAGCCAATAGGGGAATGACACAGCAGTAGGGGCTACCTGCATCAGGAATAAGAACTCCTGCCACTCTGCATCCAGGTGTGCTCTCACCATTGTTCCATCTGCGATAAGCACCCTTTCTGCAGAAAGTAAAAATTGCCTTGCTGAGAGAATTAAATTTATGTTCAAGTGCTATTACTATTACATCTGAGAACAAGCATTTTTAATTTTTAACAGTATCCTAGATCACCCTAATCATTTAGTCTCTCATCTCTATAAAACTATGTTCCATCCCTTTTCTGGCTCATTATCCACCTCTTAGGTAGTGACACCTCCCATGGTACCTTCTGTCACTGATGGCCAGTGATTAGAGAGACTGAAAATGCCCTAACCTCTTCTTTGAATGTCCCCTTCACTTTCTCCAGTACTTTCCCATAGCACTTTCTAGTAGTGAATGTATTCTTTCTCCTACACACCTGCTATGTCAGACCTGGAGAGGAGTTGACTTCCTCTATCCTTTTGGCTCTTTCCTGCCTTCCTTCTCCTGATAATGCCAGTATGAAATTTATGTCATTGTATTATACTACCTACTATGCCACTTTGTTACAATGCTTTTCCAGCCCATATAAAATGCCCTCTTCTTTAAAGACTGTACCTCCTTGTACACTCTCCTTCTTTCTGAAATTCCTTTCTAATTTTTGAAACTTTCTATTGTTATGTAGATCATCCTTCCAATCACCCTGTTTGTCAGCTCTTTAACCTACTGACCTTCAATAATCTTGTTTTCCATCTCAACCAGGCCACTCATTGTCATGGTTATATGTTGTCCTTGTAATTGTAAAAATGTGCTTATTTTTTTACAACCTTCAAGAATTCTACTCTCCAAACATCCATGTGTGTCCTCACTTCAACTCTCTCCTCCCAATGACTCTGGCAAACAAACAAACTTGGAGTTATTTTTCATTCCTTTCCTTCTCTTACATTCTACAACACATCTCCAGCAAATCCTGCCAGCAGCATGCTAAAGTTATGTTCAAGATCCACTGTTCACAATCTTCACTCTAGTCAAATTGCTCCAAATCACCATAATCTCCCACATGGTCTCCCTGCATTTGGCATGTTAGGTCTATTCTCAACAAGGAGCAAAACCAATGTGATTACAACTCAGTCAGGTGAGGTCACTTTTCTGCTCAAAATATTCCAATTCCACTGTCTTAGGAAGTTTGGGTTGCTATAATCAAACACCACAGATTGGGTGGCTTATGCAACAGTAATTTGTTTGTGTCTGGGAAGTCTCAGATCAAGGTGTTGGCAGATTCTGTGATGGAAGAGGACTCTTCCAGGCTTGCAGAGGCTGCCTTCTCCCTGTATCCTCACATGGTGGGGAGGAAGAGGTCTCTGGTGTCTTCCTCTTCTTCTAAGAGCACTAAGCTCATCATGAAGTCCCACCCTCACGACCACATCTAAACCTAAATATCTCCCAAAGTTTTCACCTCCAAATAATACCACATTGGAGATTAGGGTTTCAACATGAATTTGGGAGGTATATGAACATTCAGTCCATAGTAGCCATATCATATCACACAGAGCAAAAGCCAAAGTCATAACCAAAATGTACAAGACTTCAGATTAACTAACCTCTCTGATATCTTCCTCTATCAGTCACTGCATTGTGCTTTGTTTTTCAGTTAGTCTATTCCCCAGTGAAGTGGCCTCATTGTCTGGGGTGATACCTGAGATTCGTTGTCTCATGGCCATGGAAAACTAGGATGTGTACACACAAAGAATGAGGTTGAGAGTGGAAGTTTAATAGGCAACAGAAAGAGAATAGCCCTCTCTCTGCTGCAGAGAGAGGGGTCCTGAATGGGCTTCCGGTCCCGCAGTGAAATGCAGGGGGTTTTACAGTGAGCTTGAGAAGGCGGTATGTGATTTACATAGGGGGCAAAATATTGGTTGGACCAGGTATTCCATTTGCATACGGCATGAACAACTGGTAGGACTAGATGGGCCATTTGCATAGGGTGTGAATTTCTGGTGCCCCCTGCCCCTCTCCTCCTGTTATTTTTTTCTTATGCAGATGGGTTATCTGCCTGGCTGGTGTCACACTGCCCATTCTTTTACTGTGCACATGACAACAGCAAAAGGGAAGATGGAGCCTCCATGTTAGACATGCCTGGGCCCCAGGTAGCCCTTTTCTATTGGCACAGCTGCCAGCATTCCCCTGTGCAAGCTTCCAGCTTGCTTATCTATGCAGCTTGATTTTTCAGGCTGCTCTTTATTAGAAAAGAAATGATTCTGGAGGACTGCTTTTTGGTAGAAGGGAAGCCTTGCCAAGGACTCTTTTACCCTCACTATCTGCCTAAATAATTTCTTTCTAGCTCCTGTATCACCAGCTCTGTCATAAACACCACAGCCACACTCCCACCCCAAGGCCTTTATACTGGTGTTCTTGCTACCTCTTCCTAGAAAATTCCTCCCTGACATGTCCACAAGGCTCACACTGTCATCTCTCTGATGCTTTAGGACTTTGCTCCAGTAACAGCTTCTCAGTGAGGCTTTCCCCAATTTACAATTTAAATCTGAAACCTTCCCTTCAACACCCCTTAAACTTTTCTCTACTTTATTTCATAGTTAAATTTCCCAACATTTAATTATATTTTACTCATGTGTTTCTTCATTTATTTACTTTCTTTTTCACTAAAAAGTAAATGTCACAAGGACAGGACTTTCTGTGTTCTTTGCACCCTTCTCTATTGCTAGCAGCTAGAAACATGCCTGAAATGCAGTAGACACTCAGGGATGAATGAGGAATGGATGATGTTCTTTAATGTTTGTCATAGGATTTACTTTTATACTCCATACTCTATTTTAATAAACCATTTCATGGTTTTTATAAACACCATTATAAAAAAATCATTTAATTTGCACTGAAATACTCCAATTTTTTAATGTGAATGAGAAAAAAATTACCTCTATTGTCATTTTTAACAAGGAAATAATGGATAAGTAGTTTTATATTATGTACCTAAGCAAAGACATAGAAATGGGACTATATAGGGTGAATATTTAGAGTACATTCATGGGTTAATAGTGAAATAAGTCTTATTGGATAAACAAAGTATGTTCAGGTTAGTGCCAGAAGCTAAAAAGAGGAGTATATGTTGTATTCAGAATTGTGGTAGCTTTGAATATGTGTCAAAATGATAGGACTCATTTTGGAAATATATTTATTAACTTGACTTTCAATGTGTAACAAGACCTGACCAAGGTATCATAGTTCATTTATTTGATTTTAGTTCACTAGAAAATATTTATTTATGGTTAGTTTAACAGAAACCTGTTGACAGTCATAATTGTCAATGAAAAAATTTTTCATTGACTAAGAGATATAAATAACATTAAGACTTAAATAATGTCCTAAGAGTTTTCCTCAGGGATGACTGGTTGTTTTCAAAATAATAACAATAATTATTATACCATTGATTTCTCTTAGTCAATAGTGTAAAACAAATGGTGACCTTTTCTTCATTTAACAGCTCAAAATAATTGGCTGTATATTAAAAGAATCTGACTGGAAATATGGCTTTCTATTAATCTTATTTATAATATCTGTTTTAGAACTTCAAAGCAATCATTTAAGGGTCAAAACATATTTGAAAAGCAATGGTAATTTTAAAATCAGGCAAGGACCTGGCATTCCTTTTCTTTATGTGTTTATAAGCTAAAACTAGAGCTTAATCCATCTTTGGTCTTGCATGTATCAATGGAATTTATCAGAACAATGAGATATTACAATGTAAGAATGTGATTGATGTAATGACTTTACCTTCTATGCTTGTGGAATTACTTTTTGAAATTATTTCTAAATGCACAGCTCAACAAACTATCACTAAACAAATATGTTTGAAAACTGCACCCACATCAAGGAATAGAATCTCAGAAGTCCTTCACACCCTTTCCTTTTTACCTAACATTCCCTATGTAAAGATGACTACCATGTTAATCACTTGATTTTACAGCCTTGCCAAGTGAGCTTGCATGTTAAAACACTATACTCTAGTTTTGCCTGTTTCAGGCTTCACAGAAATTAAATTATATAGAATGTATTCAATTTAGATTTTTGTCTCAATATTGTATTCATGAAAATTATTCTTGCTGTTGGAAAATGTGTTCATTTTACAAGTTGTGTAGTATTCTATTATAGAGTGCTTTTAAGCTTCTGCTTACATCATATTTGTTATTATCTTAATGGTCAAAGCAAGTTGCATGATCAACATAGATTCATGACATGGAAAATGGGCTTCACTTCTTGATGAGAGTTGCTGCAAAGTACTGTGGTCATTTTTGCAAACCACCACATTATTGTATGTATATACTGCTAATTTGATAATATTTGCTTAGGATTTTTGAGTATAGGTTTTTATAGGAGGTAGAGATATAGACTTCTATTACTTTATGAGTTGGGGAATGTTCCTGGTTTTCTGCAAGAAGCACAACTTATTTACTCTTTTACCAATAATAAACATTTGGATTTGTATCAGTCATGATTGGCTGGGTTACACCAAAGTAACAAAATTCCCCAAGTCTCAGTGGTCTAAACCAATAAATGCTTGTCCACTGCAGGTTGGCCAGTGACTCACCCTCATGATGGCATCCTTGCTCCAAGGTTATTTGGGCAGAGCAGCTGTCTGGAATGTTGACTGGTAGCCAGTGGTAGGGAAGAATGGGGATGAAGCTGGCAAAGCATGTGCTAGCTATTAAAGTTGCTACATGGAAAAGACATGTCATTTCTAATCGCATTCCACTGACCAAAAAATGCCACGTGGCCTTGCATGACTTCAAAGAACAATGGAAGTAAAATCTTCCAGAAAAGAGGTCAACTGGATTTTGGAGAAAAGTAATGTAGTCTAGCAGAGACTGTCCTTCATTTCTCCAAATACTTGGTTTGTTCAGGTTCACATAACCAGAACATAATCATCTTCATGCTAAGGGAGAAAATTCAAAAGTTCCAAAAAGTTCCTATTTTGAATTCAAAGTCCACGGTGTCTCCTAATGTGAGTTAATCTCTGTGTCAGGTTAGGATGTGATTCTGCTTAATCCAAGAACTAAAAACTTCTGTGGAACATAAATATAAATAAGATACTACTAATAAATTCTCTCTTTGTATAAGGGAAGAACAGAACATACATATCAGCCATTAGTCCATAACAATTATTAGATTTTCCTAGGCAGGTACTGAAATTGTCCCTATATTCAGAATGGGTAATATCCTTTGAATAGACTCTGATTCTGGTCTCTGGTTTTGGATTTTTTTCTCTATAATCTTACTTGGGCCTTGTATCCTCCCTGCTGGAGGCCCTTAATTTTTTATCATTGTCTTTGGCTTTATCTGAATAGACCTTTGTAGAAAATGCCTTGTTTTCTCTGTGGCTTTCTTAGCTAACTTTCTGCTTATTTGAGCTTGGGGAAATTCCAAAAGTTGCTTCAAGTTTTAAATAACTACATATGCTTTAAGCTGGGAATTTCTTTAGCAATATGATTGTCTCAATAATCTTCTATATTTGATTCCAGTCAACTCCACACGTTAATAGCTACATAGTCCTTTTTTAGGCATATTTCTTAGATTTGTCATCATTTGTTTTGTTTTTGTTTTTTAATCCCTAGGTGTCTCTCTATTTTAGACACACACCTCTCAACTCTATTTTAGATAGTCACCCAGATTCCCATTTGGTAGGCATCTCTTTAATCTCTTTTTCCTAAGATATTTTTATAAATTTAAGAAATGAGTTCTCAGTGTTTTATTAATCTAATCAGTGGTTGTGATGCTTGTTTGAATTGACTCTTGCCAACAGAATAAGTCTAATACAGGTTCAGTTAAAACTCCTTTGCATCTCTGAGATGAAACCAACTTGGTTATGATATAATTTCAGAAAGATAGCAATAGTGGCTTAAAACGAAAGTCATTTATTTAGGCCATGATTTTCTGAGTAGCTCTGATCTGGGATTGGTTTGACTGATCTGAGCTAGGCTATTTTGTGTCTCTGCAGGCAATTTTCAGTTTGGCTGGGGTCTCAAGGTCCTTGCATAACCTTCTATATCTGGCAGTTGGCAGGCTGACAACGGGAGCAATAGAGGTGACTTGGCTATGTGTGGCTTATCATACAGTAGCAAATACAGGTTTGTCCACAAAACAGCAGTACTTCAAGAGTAGCAAGCTCCAACATTTGAGAGTGCTTTTAAGCTTCTGCTTATATCGTATTTGTTATTGTTGCAAGTTGCATGATCAACATAGATTCATGACATGGAAAATGGGTTTCACCTCTTGACAAGAGCTGCTGCAAAGTACTGTGGTCATTTTTGCAAACCACCACATTATTGTATTTATATATTGCTAGATAAATTTGATAATATTTGCTTAGAATTTTTGAGTGAGATTTTTATATGAGATAGAGACAAACTTGTATTACTTTATGAGTTGGGGAATGTTCCTGGTTTTCTGCCATCTAAAATACAGTCTCCAACTTCTAATAGTTCTACATATGATTTTTCAATGTTACAATCAGTTTAACAGGAAGTAACCCCATCAAAAGTCAAGAAGCATGTATACTTTGTGTAATAACAGCATTATTTCTTCCTTATACATTTGAATATATTCGCAGTTTACTTTTAGTTTTTGTTTGCATGATATGTCCTTTTCTATCTTCTTATATTCGAATTTATGTATTCTTTATGTTTAGATGTGTAACTTGCAAATACCACAAAGTTAGCTTTAAAAGCAATCATCCTGATGGTCTTTATCTTTCATATCTTATCACATACTTATATGATAAATAAAAGGGACATTTATCCCCTTTACTTATCATATAGTAACCAGAATGTAGTGCTTTCTCTTTTCCTATTTGATCTTGATTTGTCTCATAAGTTGTATGTTATTTTTTCTCTTGCTTCTGGTCTTCTATATAATTAGGCATTTTTATTTCCCTTTTCTTTCCTCTACTTACTTGGAAATTATACATTTTAAACATATTAGTGGCTACCTAAAAAAATACAATGTCCATTTGTCACTTATCAGAATCTAAATTTAATCTGTCATTTATCCTATCACTGGAAAATGTAAAAATTTAAAACACTTTAACTCCATTTACTACCATCCTATTCCCCACTTTGATTTTACACTACTGTATTCCTGTGTTTTAATTGTGTATTTAAAATACAAAAAATAGTGATACGTTAGTTAAATTCACTTAGATGTATGAAGATATGTAGCATTTTTGTTGCTCTTTCTTCCTTCTAGTATCTCTGAAATGTCACATTATCTTTTTATACTTTAAACCCTCACCTTTTGCATTATGTTTACTGAATGTCTGCTGCTTATGAGCTCTTCATTTTTTGTCTAAAATTTTCTATTTCATCTTTATTCTTTCAGAAATTATTACTGAGAATTATTCTTTGGAAGTTATTTGCTTTATTTCCATTGTCTATGCCTTTCATTATTTCTGTTGAGAAGTCAGCTGTTAACCAAACTTGTTGCTCATTTGAAAGTAATCTATCTTTCTTAGGCTGCTTTTAAGATAGTTTCTCTGTCTATACCTCTGGGCAATTTCTATGATATACTTCCTTGTAAACTTTGTTCTGTCTTCCTCTCTTCCTTCCTAACATTCTTACTTCCATCTTTCCTTCCTTTTGTAAACATATTTTAACTCATATAATATCTTTAATTTGTAATATAGTGTATTTCATCAGTTGTGGAAAGTTGATAGTGCCGATCTTGGTAAATATTACTTTTATAATTTCCCCTTATCTTATTGTAGAACTCAAATGATACAAATGTTAGAGCTTCTCACAATATTCTCTTTATCACCAATTCTACATGTTTTTACCATTTTATCTCTTTATGTTCTATTCTGATTATTTTTTCTAAACTATCTTTTAATTTCTTATTTTCTCTTTGACATTTTCTAATGTTACTATCTAACCACTGATACTTCATTTAGTTACTCATTTTCAGTACCACACTTACAATTTTGTCATTTTTAAAATAATTTTTATCTTTCCTATGGAAATAAAAAGATCTTAGTATCATTTTGACCACAGTAGAATAATCATTTAAAGTCTGAGTCTCTATACCTAGAAATCTGGAAGATTTATTTCTATTTTCTATTAGTTTTGCCATTTTTTGCTCATGTTGTTGGTCTTCTTGGGTGCCTGGTTATAGCATATAAAGTGTCAGATATTAAAAACTGTATTTAGCAAAAACTTGAATACTGGAATGATGTTTTTCATCTTATGCCAGTAAGCAAATACATTGGCTACTTTCAGGTAGCTGGTAACTAAAAAAATTTAGGTAACTTCAGATGTCATTTAGAGAACAAAATGAGTCACAGCAAAACTACACTGACCTCAGTGTGTTACATTTTAAATGAAACTTGTAATCAGCTCAGCGATCCAGATATTCTTAAACCCCTATGAGAGTGGAAGTGATTGAGGTTATCCAATATTTTACCCTCATCCCTAAACGGAAGTGGGATTAATGACTATACATCTTGGTTCTGTGCACTGCTTCCAATTTCTGTTGCTCTTAAAAACATGTTAAAAAAAGAAAGGAAAAAAAAAAAACATTCACATTCGCTGTGGGAGTTGAGTGTGATGCCTGTACAAGATTGCATTCTCCCTGCTGGAAAGATATTTGCTGTTCCATTGGTTCTCTGTGAGGTTCATTTAACACTGTGTAGCAAATCTCTTTATGTCCAAAAAAAAGATATGCCAGCCCTAGGCATATTACTTCAATAGAATGATTTATAACACTTTAGGATCTGCAACTTAATGGAGTAAAACTTTTCTCACAATACCCTTAACTGAGAACCAAGTCTACATCAAAATGGTTTTCGTAAACCTCACACATTAACAAGCTTCATTACTTCAGAAATTTGATTTAGGATACTCACAGAAGCAAACAGTAGACCACAAGCTGCACTCAGCACTGCACTACTCACTAAAATGAAGAGCAGTGTTTTACTGAGGGATGTCCTTGTTACCAAAGACCCATTTATTTACTGAGTGTCAATTTGAGAGAATTATAAGCACTCAGAGAGTCATGTCCATTTTGTCCATTGGGTGTCTCCATCAGCTGGTACATAGCAGATTTTCAACAAATTTCAATGACTGGCAGGAATGCCTTCCTACTATCTTCTATCTATCAGCCAGTAGAACAGACGTCCCAACTCACACAGAAGGGTGTCCATCTGATTTTTAGAGGCCTCCAGGAAAGGCATGCCACCACCACCCCTCAGAAACCTTTTCCATATCTCCCGGAGTCCAGCTGGGTCCCCGAATGCAGTCTGTTCACCAGCTGCTACTGCTTCCCACTTATCTGGCCAGAAATGCACTGGCTATTTTCCATTTCAGCAGGCTCACTCCTTAATCATTTCTAGAACAGCAAAGGGGGTGTTGGAAATATCCTCCCTAATCTCTCTTGCAATATTTAAATGTATCTAATTTCAAAACACTGAAAAGGTTAAAAAAAATCCATAAAACAACTCTTAAATAAATTCCATCTGATGGCTTGAAAGAATCTTTTCACAATGAATTCGTAAGAAGGTGAAAATAGAATTCTCATTTAATTTTTGCTAGTATGTCCAGATTTCACAATAGGATGAGCTTATTTTTGGCTCCAGATTTACATGATTGTTCTCCTCAGCATTTTCTTTCTTCTATTTAGGCAAAGGAAGTTTGTGGCTTGCATATTAGAATTGAAATATTTACAATTAATTTAAGTTGATGTAATAAATTTTAGTTCATTTAAGTTCTTATAATTATTGCCTTGTTGTAGAAAACCTGAGATCCTCTGTCTATGAAATTTTGAAAGGCAACTCTAGGGATTTTCAGAAATAAATAATATATACGACATCTCAAAAGAAGT
Organism: Homo sapiens; assembly: GCF_000001405.40. Lineage (NCBI taxonomy): Eukaryota > Metazoa > Chordata > Mammalia > Primates > Hominidae > Homo > Homo sapiens. Next base: position 9,854,413 of record NC_000010.11, read on the forward strand.
GTTAAAGCTCACTAGTTTTATCAACATCTTTGGTTTTTAGTTTTTTGGGTTTTGTTTTTTTTTTTTTTTAACAATAAACGCTCCATGTAAGTGTAGGATCTCTATTTTGTTCATTGACGTATCCCAATCCCTAAAAGAATGCTGGGCACATAGTTAATGCTCAATACATACAGAAATGTGATTCTGTTTTTCCATTTATTTCTCAAAAGTGATTGATTGGAAGTAGGCCTTCACAAGATGGTGACCAGGCTCAGGAAGCTGTTTCCTAAATTTAATTTTATATATATCACAAAATCATAAAACAGTCTTCAAAGTTATTCTGCCAGTAGCATAAGGACTTCCTGGATGTGGGAATGCAGCTAAGTCCTGTGAAGCACTGAACTCTCAGAGGCAATCGGCCTTTGCATTGTTCACTCATTCCTCAGTGAATACCCTCTTCTCTTAGATAATAGCTCTTGATAGGAAAAGCCTACATTTTCATAACTGGTATGTTGAACACATAACCCAGCAAATTTGATAAATGCAATTTTATTGCTTATTTCTCTCACTACTTTGTAAAAAATTTAAATTAAGTCAACAATGTCTTTTTTTTTTTTTTTTTTAGTATTTATTGATCATTCTTGGGTGTTTCTCGGAGAGGGGGATTTGGCAGGGTCATAGGACAATAGTGGAGGGAAGGTCAGCAGATAAACATGTGAACAAAGGTCTCTGGTTTTCCTAGGCAGAGGGTCCTGCCGACTTCCGCAGTGTTTGTGTCCCTGGGTAGTTGAGATTAGGGAGTGGTGATGACTCTTAAGGAGCACGCTGCCTTCAAGCATCTGTTTAACAAAGCACAACTTGCACTGCCCTTAATCCATTTAACCCTTCGTGGACACAGCACATGTTTCAGAGAGCACGGGGTTGGGGCTAAGGTTATAGATTAACAGCATCCCAAGGCAGAAGAATTTTTCCTAGTACAGAACAAAATGGAGTCTCCTATGTCTACTTCTTTCTACACAGACACAGTAACAATCTGATCTCTCTTTCTTTTCCCCACATTTCCCCCTTTTCTATTCGACAAAACCGCCATCATCATCACGGCCCGTTCTCAATGAGCTGTTGGGTACACCCCCCAGACGGGGTGGCGGCCAGGCAGAGGGGCTCCCCACCTCCCAGTCGGGGCTGCCGGGCAGAGGGGCCCCCCACCTCCCAGAAGGGGTGGCGGTCGGGCAGAGGGGCTCCCCACTTCCCAGACCGGGCGGCCGGGCAGAGGCACCCCCCACCTCCCAGACGGGGTGGCGGCCGGGCAGGGGCTGCCCCCCACCTCCCGGACAGGGCGGCTGGCCGGGCGGGGGCTGCCCCCCACCTCCCGGACAGGGCTGCTGGCCGGGTAAGTCAACAATTTCTTTTGCTCTGAATGTAAGATTGGGTAAAATCCCTAGTTTTTCTTTTTACTATTAAATAATAGATATCATATAGCAATTTTATATCACAAAATATCAGAAAATGTAGCATGATCTACTAATGAGAATGAGACCAGTTAGTGCATTCACATGCATTTCAGTCTTCATTCAACGCTCATACTTCTTCCTCTGTCCCAGTGCCACATTCAGATGCAAACAAGAGAGACCCCTGCCTGGATACAGGGCCTCGCATACCGAAAATCATACGACCTCATGCATTTATTAAAGAATGTATGTGTGCCTCTGTCATGGAGTCTGTCACTCAGTGCTGGCAAAGCTTGATCCATAGCCCTAAACATCCACTCTTGTGATTAATACCATTCAGGCCACGGTGAAGTAGTTTTCCAAATGCCAGGACAATTTAAGAGTTGTATCATTACTGATGTCAGAGATGAACACTACCTGGGATTGCAGGGAATGTTTACACAATAGAAATGCTTGAGTCGCCAGGAGCGGTGGCTCACGCCTGTAATCCCAGCCCTTTAGGAGGCTGAGGCAGGTGTATTATCTGAGGTCAGAAATTCGAGACCAGTATGGCCAACATGGTGAAACCCTGTCTCTATTAAAAATATAAAAAAAGTAGCCAGGCTTGGTGGCGTGCGCCTGTAATCCCAGCTACTCGGGAGGCTGAGGCAAGGGAATTGCTTGATCCAGGGAGGTGGAGGTTGCAGTGCACCACTGCACTCCAGCCTGGGCGACACAGCGAGACTCCGTCTCAAAAAAAAAAAAAAAAAAAAAAAAAGAACAGAAAAGAAAAGAAAAGAAAAAAGCTTGAGTCAACTAATACCATAGATTAGAAACATCTTCCTAGAAGCATTTGATAGACAAGGTTTCTTCTACTCGCAAATACTATTCTTTTGTTGGCCATAAATCTGTTATTAACATATTTACAGGAGATTATATTTGGGTCACTTATCCCTTCTACTCCAAGGCCACCCTGAGATCTGAAAATGGGAAAGAAAGAAATTTCAGGCCAACCGCTTAACCCCTTCTTTTCCAGTAAGAGAAAATACAATTAATTTGTCAAATATTTTCTCTCAAGAAACTATTAACATACTTGATTTTTTTACATAATGAGGTGTTGCTTTCCAGTAGTGCCAAATTTCTATTTTCTTGCCTTCCTTCACATTCCAGTCAATGCCGGTAGAAGTATTCATTAATTTAAATGGCATTTACAAAAGCCAGTTATGCATAGTGAATGAGGACTGTTTTGTAGTAATAAACAGTTCAGAATAGTCTTAAATGTTCAACTGATTGATGGATAGATGATAAAGAAATGAAGAGATAAAAATGGATCTAGCATTTGTGAAATGTAATGCCAACCCTTCACAATATTGTATACCTCTGGATATTTGAGAATAAAAACATAATTTATATTATATCTTAAAATATTTTATAAATTTTCCACTATAATGACAATATATTATATTAGGCCCATTACAGTATTTAACATAACATATTATCATAATTTCATTCTTATTTAAATATTGTTTTAATAATTTTATTACCTTAAAGTTGCTACAGTCAGCCAAGTGAAGCTTCCCTAAATTGAAGTAATAATTTAAACACACAAAAAATCTGTCCATTATAATTCCAGAAAGGTTGTCTAATTTGACATTCCTATGAATACATTGTTTTATGTAATATATATATATATATATATTTTTTTTTTTTTTTTGCAAGGGAGTCTTGCTGTCACCCAGACTGGAGTGCAGCGGCACAATCTCAGCTCACTGCAACCTCCACCTCCTGGGTTCAAGCAATTCTCCTGCCTCAGCCTCCTGAGTAGCTGGGACTACAGGTGCCCACCACCACACCCTGCTAATTTTTTTTTTGTATTTTTAGGAAAGGTGCGGATTCACTCTGTTGGCCAGGCTGGTCTTGACCTCAAGTTATCCGCCCACGTTGACCTCCCAACGTGCTGGGATTACAGGCATGAGCCATTGCACCTGGCCCGTGATAAATCTTAAATATGGCAAAAAAAATTAACAATTTTACCAAAATAGAGGAAATAACTTATATAAAAATAGATAATATGTAGATAGTGTTTTTATTTTTAATTATTCATCCTAACATTGCTAGCCCAGCTTCTGAGCACCCAATCATGAATAATGGTAGTTAATTCTATCTTCTTTGATCTTGTGCCATCTTCCAGATAAAATCACAGATTTAAACACATTTGTTAAGTATAATCATCATACAGAATTTGTCAAAGTAGAAGAAGAAAACATTTTATTTCACAGTTAACTTGACGTATAGTAACTTTTAAATATTTTGGCCTATGTAACTGCGGTTTTTGCCTTTTAAAAGTAATTGTATTATATGCAGAACACACATATATGTATGTGTGTTGATGCATATGTGTGTATATATATAATTATGTATTTGTGTGTGTGTGTGTGTGTGTGTGTGTGTCTAATGAAATCTATTGTAAGGAATTTGTTCATGTGATTATGGAGGCTGAGAAGTCTCATAGTCTGCTATCACATATGGAAACCCAGAAAGTCAGTGATGTAATTCAGTTCAAGTCTGAAGGCCTAAGAACCAGAAACCATGGATGGTGTAAGTCTCAGCTCAAGCAGTCATGCAAACAGTGAATTCAACCTTCATCTGCTCCTTTTGGTAACTGG